>NC_000004.12:115588047-115739562 GCF_000001405.40 Homo sapiens | reverse complement strand
TTGCAAATTTCCATTTATGCCTACTGCATGTTCAGTGTTTTAAATATTTTTATCATACATTTTAAAAGATTTTAAAGAAAGGAAGCAATGAAAATAAGTTTTGAACAACTTAAGTCAAAACGAAAAGTCTCAAGCATTTTAAATATATTTATCTTTTATATTTATTTACTTTCCATCATTATTAATACATTATTTTAATGTTGGAATATCATCAGGAAAATCATCATCTGGATTTGGGTAATATAATTATTCCCTAGTATTTCTTTTAACATACCTTGATAGTTATTCTCCTCTTCAGACTAAATACCTTATTTGAATGATAAACGTATTTAATAAAGAAGTAATACCACTTTTGTCATATAAAAGTGTTAATGCATATGTGTTGGCTTTTGGTTTCTATATTACATTTTATAAGTCTATTTTCTATCCCTTTATTACTGCTATACTGTCTTACACAACATTACTTCATAATTTTTGACATCTGATAGAGTAAGTCTAGGCACTATGTTTTCCTTCATGAGTATCGTGACTATTCCTTGATCTTTTGTTTGTGATTGAAATGACCTTAAAAATAATTTGAAAAAAATTCTATTTTTCACTGGGCTATACTTGAAAATTTAAAACATGATATATACATATTTAAGTATAATATATCTCAATAAAGCTTTACATATATATAAATATAAAACTTGCAATCTTTTGTTAAACTTCTTCTACCATAATTATATCCAGATATTATTGAACATGATCTGTAATTTCCAGCTACCTGGTGCTGGCAGAAAGTAAATCAATTGCATTGTATGCATTGTTTTGGTATCTAGCCACCATTCTAAGTTTCTTTATTGTTCTCCAATTTCATGTACATTCTTTTAGCATTCAAAGACACCGTTATTATACTTTATTTATATTTTTGAATATTTATCATTTTAAATAGATTAGGTCAAATGACACAAAGAGCGTTGGTCCAAGATGGCCTCATCATGGCTCACAGAAGTTACATTTCTTCAGTTTTAAAATGTATAGAGAAAATAGCATTCATTTAGCAGAATTCTGACAGTAAGTGTCCTGACCCACAGAAAGAGATAAACCACGATGCAAAGGACCAACTGGAAGCTGAGTTTCCTCCAAGGTTACATAAGAAGTGGCAGAAATTAATGCCAATATCAAAGCTTTAAAAGATGTAGTAAGGATGAAGATTCCTACAACATGCCTATTTGACAGGTGCAAAAGACAGATGGAGCAGATGACAACAGACTTAATCAAGTGATGATACCAATTGTTGCTATTTTCCTACAGTAGCATTTTTCCTGGGACACTGAACATCTCTGACACGTTGCGCAGCTATTGATGAGAAAAAATGCTTTCTTTTCCATTCAAAAATGGAAGTCAAAATGAGTTTTCTTGAAGTTAAACAGGAAACATATTACTTTTACTCACCTGCCTAAAGGGTAACTTTAGAGAAATTACACATGCACATGCCACATGTGTTTGGAAATGCTGCTGTGTCCCATTTACCTAGTAATTGGTATCACTACAGTTTTCTCTTGAGAAGCACAGCAAGAACAGGCCTGCCATCTTTATCATTTTAACTTTTGACATAGCAGACACGATATACCCAGAGCTTTAGCTGGGATAATCTGAGGAATCCCCAGCAAGCTTCAAAAGGGAAATCATAAGGCAATAGAAACAATGGCTGATCATAAAATAGCAAAAGATGTGATGCGAATTTCTCAGCATGAACCAGTATTGCTTGATTCATTTAAACATATGATCTATGTGTGCAGCAGCATTTTATTATAAATTAAAAGTAATATATAAGAAGCCAATATATTGTGGAAGATATAGTTAAAATTCTTGAATAGGTGGCTTAGACTTCCATGGCATCTGTTTCTTCTGCTTTGCTGCTCTGTGTCTCATCTCATATAGATGACATCACTGAGAATGTTCTATTTCCATTTGGCAACTGAATCTGTTATCACACTCTTTTCTATAAAATATATTCATGAATGTTAGTGAGTTTTAGGGTAATGAAATATACATTAGAGAGAATTACTAGCACAGGTGTACACATTTGCTGGAACCCATCATATCATATATTTAAAATTTCACTTTATTGAATGAAAATTTTACCTATAAAAGAACCATAAACAAATATTAGATGACTGCTAATACTATGAATGTTGAAACATTTAGATGTAAATATACTGGGACATACAATTTTCTTTGAATTTCTTCAAAAATAAGGTGAATTAATAACTGGAAATAGGAACGGATGGGTATGTAATAAAACAAGTAAAGTAAAAACGATGGTTTTATATTAGAGCAGAGGAAAGAAGTATATTTGTTTTGCTGTAAAATTCTTTCAACTTTCCCTGAAAATTTTCAAAATTCACCTTTGGAAAAAATACAATAGTGGCAGGAAATCCTTTCTTTAGACAAAACTTTGTGTTGTATCTAGAAGTATATCACAATTTTTTTTGTTAAGTCAAGGCTTGAGAAATGCACCTATACTTACTGGACACATGGGCAATGACAAGTGAGTTAGGTTGGTATGCGGAGATGTGGATAAAATAAAATTTACAACCCCATGGAATGTAGGGGAGAGACAGCTCAAAATGGGCATACTGTGTGTATACATTCATATTCCATTTAAATACTCAGAAGAGGACATCTGCAGAGAAGTTTTGCCGTAATCAAGTAAAAAGGTAACTGGTACTATGCATACCATTCATGTTTGCTTCTAGCTACCCAAGTATCGCTAGTGATTCCATTGACAAGTGTTACTCACGCCACATTTCCTTTGACTGAAAGATATACTTTATTACAAAAAAAGAAATAAAGAAATTGCTGATGATATTACATATACAGTGCCCACTTGCGAACCAAAGTTTCGAAGCTTTGAAGCTTTGAACAGTTCTAGAAGGTGGATTATTGTCTTAAGCTAGCAGCTAACTAATTCAGGTTTCATTTTATGCTGGAAAATTGGATATAATAGCAGCTGTTCTTATACTGTTTAATGCCATCCCCCTTCTTTACCATCACCAATTTGTAAAAAGAACTCCAGTGTTGCTTAGAGTATGACTGATTTTATATCACTCTATGATGATATGACAATGGATATAAATTAGCAAATTCCTTTTATGATGGTATTTTTTTAACCTGACAAGAGTAAATATTGAGAGGAAAGTAAAACTGATTGTGCTGAACCTCCTCTATTTACCCATCCAGAATCATCTTTCCCTTTTCTTCACTCTCTTGTCTGACCTAGGAGACAGACCTCTTTGAACAGTATCAATAGACTCCATTGACCTTTAGTTATTTTGTAGCATTTAGCTACTGAGAGTCCTTTTGAAATATAAGCACGGTGACAAATAAGGTCAGGCAATTCATTTTCAAGCTCTTTCCTAAAGTTTTCCCTCTAGCTGACTCTGACCTTTGACCAAAAGTTAGAGTCACCCTCTTCACATAACTTCTAATTCTACATTCCAGTGATTACTTCTTATATTCCTCCCTTTTTTACTCAGAGGTGGTTACAACCATGGATAGTTGTGTAAACCCATGTATTTCTGATCATTGTAAATAATTCCTTTATTAAAAATTGTTGAGATTTGCTTGAACATGCCAACAGTTACTTGCTGGTAGTTAAGGACACTAATTTATTTACAACCCTTCCCAAATTAAATTTAAGCAAAAATCACAGGGTCAAAAAGTAATATCACATATTGTTAAAAGAAAAACAGATCAAAATTATATTTTCATCTTGAACATATAAGAACCGCAAAATTCTGCCTTATCAGTTATAAAGCAAAAATTAAAAGAATTACAGACTTCAATAGATTAATCAGCATTGTAGATGAGGATTTTCCTTTAATATTTTAAGATACTACTATATCAATGAGAATTAAATAGAAATAGAAATACAAAGGATTCAATATTACATTTAATAACACTTGTTCAATAATTTAAAAACTCTACACACCAAAAGCACAGAATACACATTATATTTACATTAATCAATCACAAAAATAAATCATGTTCAAAGATAAAGTGTAAACCCAAATAATACCAAAGAAACATCAACAAAAATATTATATTGTCATATCACAATGAATTAAAGTTAAATATAAAATAACAATTAGAAATGATTAATATCTGCAAAAGCTTAGTATTTACTATGTGTGATTTTTTTTCTATGACTTTTATATACATCAACTCTGTAAATATTCAGAAAAATATTTTGTGCTAAGTAATTTTATGACCACCATTTTCTTTCAAATAGGTTTAATAGTTTATCTATGGTGCAGCAGTAGAACCTCAAAATCCACGCTCATATGATTGCTCAACTGAAAAACACAGCAAAACTAACAGAAAAACTTATACTTAAAAACATTTGTGGAAAAGTTAGAACTTCTATAGATAAAATAAGCTGCAGTATTAAAAGATATTTACAATAAAATAATAATTTCATTACATTTCCAAAAACGTGAGTATGGTTGGACTAGTACTAGAAAGAAATTCAGAACTTTTAAAACCAGTATTTAGTCACTCATTATCAAATGTTTATTGAGCAAATTCCATGTGCTATGCAATGTTATTCATTGCAAAATGAAAAGGGATACATGAATATACTTATTATGCAACTCAAGGAGATAGATAAACATGAGAAGCACAAACATAAGCAAAAATAAGGGACCAATAAATCTATTGTTAGAAGTCAATTGAAAATAGCTATAAAGGTAATAAAACTAATTACAATGACAGGCCAGGCATGGTGGCTCACACCTGTAATCCCAGCAGTTTGGGCAGCCGAGGTGGGTGGATTACCTGAGGTCAGGAGTTCGAGACCAGCCTGGTCAACATGGCGAATCCCTGTCTCTACTAAAAATACAAAAATTAGCCAGGTGTGGTGGCACACACCTGTAGTTCCAGCTACTCGGGATGCTGAGGCAGAATTGCTTGAATCCAGGAGGCGGAGGTTGTAGGGAGCCAAGATCATGCCATTGCACTCCAGCCTGGGTGACAGAGCAAAACTCAGTCTCAAAAACAAACAAACAAAAACACACACAAACTCTAGAGGCATAACAGGGTTAACAGAAACTTAAAACCTTACTATATATGAAAACACATGAGATTAATTTGAAATTTCAGATACTATTCCAGGAAATGTATTTAACAGGTGAATACAATATACCATGTCTTCGATTTTTAATTAAAAAGTTCCATAATGACAGCAATTAGTGATAAGTGCCCTTACAACGCTAAAGAAGAGCTGCAGGTGAAACTTATTCAAGAATGGGTGAACTACTAATGCAACAATCACCTCATCATTTTCTGCTAGTCTCTATCAAGAAAAGACTAAAAACTCAAAAAGAAATAGAGTAACATTTAATATATAATAATGAACAAGCTTTGGCTTAGTTTTGTGTGTGCTGACATTTTTCCACTGCTCTTGAAATGAAACCCACTCTTTTACTTAAGAAAAGAGAGAGCAGCTTCAAGAGACCAAGTGATAAGTCTAAGTCTGCAAGAAATGGAGACTCTGGTGGATTCTTTAAGGAAAGAGAGAGCAGCTACTAGAGACCTAGTGTTAAGTCTTAAATCTACAAGAAATGGAGACT
Organism: Homo sapiens; assembly: GCF_000001405.40. Taxonomy (NCBI): domain Eukaryota; kingdom Metazoa; phylum Chordata; class Mammalia; order Primates; family Hominidae; genus Homo; species Homo sapiens. Next base: position 115,733,944 of record NC_000004.12, on the reverse strand, counting down.
GTGGTGGATTCCCCCATCTGGACACTTGCTGAGTAGCAGGAAGTCCTAAGCCCACCTCAGAGCTATTGTCAACATGAAGTTGAGAGTTCACAAAGAGCTTGAGAAGTACATTCCACGGTTTGTACACATGATAACATGCATTCATGTTATCTGCTCTCTGCTGTCTGGATCTCATCTTGAGAATTCTGTGCAGAGGATACTGCTTGGGGGAGCCATAGATGTCAGGATGAAGAAAGGGCAGAAGTAGGTAGCCTGTGCTAACAATGTTTGGCATACATTGCACAATGTGGCATATGCTATACATTTTCTGTGTACCAATTGGAACTTGAAGAAGTAAAGAGACTTGGGCAATCTTGATCAGTACCTGATAAAAAGGTGCAGCCTGCCTGTGGTGCAAGACCTCAGAAATAATTACCTGTTTTCTGACCAATAATTTAGGAGGCTAAAAGCAAAGAGTGTATCCCGAGACAGTTAATGTTCTTTGGTAGCCTCTGAAGAACTCACACCTACATCCCAAAAGGGAGTCAGCATTTATTATTTGAAATTATTTGAAAGTATAACATGATACATTAAAAAATTATATAATAAACCCTAAAATGACAACTAAAATTTACAGAAAAATGTACTAGTAAGCCAGTAATAGAGAGAAAATGGAATCATAAAAATCTTCAATTTTACAAAGGCAGGGAAATAGGAAAAAAGGATATAAGAACAAACAAGAAAAACAAAAAATAACTAGATTTAGTGGCAAAAAAAGCTACCAAAATCAAGTATTTTTATAGTACTTTATAGTACCATGAAATCAAGTATTTTATAGTACTTTGTATTCATAAGAACATTTTGAGAGAGAACATGGTGGATATTTTACACCAGGCAAGTACTTACTGAAAGAGAGCCACCAGGGTAGCTACATTAAGTTAAATTACTATTTAAAGAAAAAACACTACTATACTCGGTTTTTAAGGAAGTTACTATATAAAATGGGGAAGAATTAACCACTACTCTATAAAACTAATAATTGAAGAATTTAAAATAATAGTATGAACCCAGAAGATTTGAAAACCAAAATTAGCATATTTAATTGAGTGAATACATGAGCGTGTGCAGGAGGGCACTCACCCGAGCACACACACATACACACACACACAATTTTTACAGTCAACAATTAGAGAATATCCATTTCTTTAAGTTCACATAGCCATAACAAAACTTATTCTCCATGATGAAGACACCATAATTTGTAATGCAAATGTCATCATGTCTTTTTATTATCTACAAACCTGAAAAACACTAGTTTCTTCAGGTTAAAATAAATATTTTTGTTTATTTTATCAAGCAATTTTGTGTATTTATCCAAGCAATTCTGCCTCAGCCTCCCGAGTAACTGGGACTACAGGCGTATGCCACCACGACTGGCTAATTTTTGTATTTTTAGTAGAGATGGGGTTTCGCCATGTTAACCAGGCTGGTCTCGAACTCCTGACCTCAGGTAATCCACCCACCTCAGCCGCCCAAACTGCTGGGATTACAGGCATGAGCCACCACGCCTGGCTTGTCATTGTAATTAGCTCTATTACCTTTATACTATTTTCAATTGACTTCTAACAATAGATTTATTGGTCCCTTATTTATGTTGGTGCTTCTCATGTTTATCTCCTTGAGTTGCATAATAAGTATGGTCACGTATCCCTCTTCATTTTGCAATGAATAACATTGCATAGCACATGGAATTTGCTCAATAAACATTTGATAATGAGTGACTTAATACTGGTTTTAAAAGTTCTGAATTTCTTTCTAGTACTAGTCCAACCATACCCACCTTTTTGGAAATGTAATGAAATTATCCACAATCGTTTGAATATACTTCAAGACCTAGACTCTGTTTTCTTTTTTTTTTTTTTTTTTTTTTTTTTATTTGAGACAGAGTTTTGCTCTTGTTGCCCAGGCTGGAGTGCAATGGCGTGATCACGGCTCACCACAACCCCTTCTTCCCGGGTTCAAGGGATTCTCCTGCCTCAGCCTCCCGAGTAGTTGGGATTACAGGCATGCGCCACCACGCCCGTCTAATTATGTATTTTTAGTAGACACAGGGTTTCACCATGTTGGTCTCAAACTCCCGAACTCATATGATCTGCCCGCCTCAGCCTCGCAAAGTAATGGGATTACTGGCATGAGCCACCACGCCTGGTCTAGACTCTGATTTTATCTTCACTCTTCACTCCTGTTTTGTCACACTTCTGACAGTTGTGGACTTTTGTTTTCTTGAACATAAAGTTTTCTCTTTAGACTCTGTTACTATAAATTCACTGTCTCCTCAGTCTGGAAACCTCCCTCCTCAGGGTTCTAACACACCAACTCCTGTTCACGCTTTACAGTTCTTCTTAGATGCTATTCTTCAGGAAGGCTTTCTTGACAAGCAGTTAAGGTCAAATGTCGTTTTGTATCCTCAAGACATCCTACTTCCACTTTTTCATTTACATATACTCTGTAATTACTTTAATGGTTTTTATTTCCCCCACTAGGTTCATTAAAGGTTAATATTATATTTGCTAAATTTATTGTTATATCCATTGTTCTTAATATGTATAGTAATTAGCATATAATAGACACAAAATGTTTACAACTAATAAAAACTCACACTGGTATTATCTAAGCCATATACTACATAAAAATAAATATAGTTAAAATTTCTAAAACTTACTATTTCATAAATTTATTATGAAACTACATTGTTGTACTACCTTTGTACATAAGGTGTTTAATTCTAACATTGTTAAAAGCCTAACCTAAATGTCCAATTTCAGGATCTATCCTAATCTCAATCCATTCTCTCCTCTTTCATGCAAATAATATTTCCTTTCTCTGCTTTTAACTTTATTATCAGCGCTTATATTACAACGATCAACAGAATCTAATTTGCCCTTTTGTTATTTTTATGCCCATCTTTATTTCCTCCTACTAAATTCCTAGGAGAGACTGAAAGTAGTTTTCATCTTTGCCTAGGTCAGAGGTAATGCTCACTCAATGATACTTCCAAACTGTATGTAGATGTTTCAAATGACCAACAGAACATTTGACAAATATATGAACATTAATTTGTTAAAATAATTAATTAAAATCACAAGAGTGATAAATTTGTGCATTCCCAAATTATCTTGGTATGATACACCTTTCCCTGAGGCTAAATGGGACGCAACTCATTGCTTCCCTGTCTGTGGCATTATCTCCCATGACACTTCATATTTATGGTCCACTGAAGTGAGCTTACCCAGAATATAGCAGATGTTTGCCACTTCTTCAATCAAAATTATTCACTCTGAATAAGTGGCTTTTTAGATGGGAATACAAATCCTAACTTAAGAGTTTTTTGACTTTTGGCAAATTGTCAAAAAGGTGCAAATAACAAATAATGGCGAATGAAAGGAAAATGGTGCTATAAGAGTGGATCAATATAATATATTGTTGAAGGTAATAAAGAAAATATTCATTACTAGCAGATACAAGGAGCTCAATAAAGTGGAGGAATTATTGTGACTGTTCACCCATGTAACACTCTTTGGTCCAGTTCTTTGCCTTGTGTCTAATTCCTACTCATTATTTGTCAGTTCCATAATAATGTTGTATATTTCATTATTTCAATATTTTTATATTTCATAAATACCTTTTCCTTAAGGGCTCCAAATCAACGAGCATAATATAACTTTGATACGTTTAAAAATAAATAAATAAAATCTAATATAACTGTGAGTAAAGCTTATTAGTAAGTTTATTGCAATTTACATGAAAAAATATCAGTTGCAATAAAAATTTAAATGAATTAAGAAAAGACGTGTAAAATAGAGAATAATTTTTGATAAGTTAAATACCTTACTCAGCAGCTTTAATGGCTCTGGAAGCAATTTATTTTTGCCCAAAGACATTTTGACTTATAATAACTTATTTTAGCATACTTTAACATATCCCACGAGGAATCATTACAGAGTTTGCTAGGATGATGGAGTTAACATGCGCTCATTGTCTTCACTCAGTACCTGTCAGCTGAAGAAAATATTCTTACATGCATTGGAGTATATGCCAAATACAATGCATGCTAAATTATCTGTTAAAACACAAAAACAGTAATAAATGCAAATCTATTGCATATACTGTTAATTATTTTACATGGCATGTAAATGCTAGGAAGTTTTTCTATCCTCAGTATTACCATAAAAAGGCTGCTGCTGTGAAGATAAGTATAAGTTCATCCTTTTAAACTAGAGTCAAAAGCACAACAACGTAAAACATATAGAGCATATTATTCCAAACTTATAACTTTCCTCTGAATTTCTATGTAAATATAATGACCAAATACATAATTGAATATTAATATGTACAAAATTATTTCACAAAGATCTTGAACTGCTCTCAAGTACAGCAATATTTGATTGCTTTCAATGAGTTTTTCCTAGCAATTTTTAATAAAAGTTACTTGTCTACCCATTCCACAATTAGTGATTCATCTATCCAAAATTTTTGCAACCTAATATCAAAATTCCTATTATTAGAACACGTAAGGAACTGATGAACTCATATTCTACATATTTATTAATCCTAAACAATTGTTTAGGATATAAGTATAAAAGCATAGGGCATGAGTCACAAATTAAGAAGTCACAAACTTCTTAAAAAAGTTTCAGAAAGAAACTCAAATAAAATTCACAACAAAGTTAATCCGAACTATTGATTATAAATGTGGTTAAAAAAAGTTAAAAATTAAACATAGATGGCAACAGTTAATATTATTTTTCTATAAACAGCATTTTTTAATCATTTGGAAAAGTGTTTAGTTATGAGACTAAAGCATTATTAAAACTTCGCTTATTCACTTGTGCAACTGAGGAAATTGACCTAATTTTTTACCCTACATCAATTTCTGTTTTGGGTTTGAAGTCAAGCCTGGAATCTTACTTGGATTTTAGGTGAAAAAGCCATCCACGTAAATCCAGGTAAATCCTTGGGCAATAGTGACTGGTTTGCTCCATAAAAACTGGACACAGGGATCTATGAGCTGGGGCCTTCCAAACCCCTTATGGTGCTGGCTTTTGGAAACGATTGTATGTTAGTTATTTATGGAACTCTCCCAGAACAATTGACTGCTCTACATAGGTTCCATTTCTCTGTCCCTCCATACTTGTGTCTACTAAGAAAGAAAACTGCTTGAATATTGAATACAAACTTTGTTTCAGAAATACATCCCACAGACTTTTCTGAAAAACATGTCAATTATATTTGATAAGTTTTTTGTTATAAGCCAACATAACTTTGATATAAATAGTGCTATAATTATTTGCCTACTTCCAGCTTTCTGAACATTGTAAATGCTTCTGAAATATAATCCCAGGGAGTCAGTGGGATTATCATAATTGTAGAAATAATGTGCAATCCTTATTACAGATGAGGAATATCTGTATAAGTTAAAAACTTCTATTTAATATTCAATTCAATTATGTAATAATATTTTGTAATACATTAAAATGATAGAGAAAAACAAAATAGTGTTTTAGTTCTCTAGTTTCAGAAGATTGGAAGTAATTTAGTGTAGAATGACAGCTATTTGATTCTTTGGGTGAAAAGATAGCTGCCATCATGATTTTCAAGAACTCATTAGGAAGCAAAGGTGACATGTGATGCCTTCTTGTTATTAGGTAAAACAGTTAGAAAAATATTCATCCACACTAAAAAAAGAAAAAAAAACTTTATGAGTCCATGGATCTGTCATTTGGATCCATCAAAAGCACAAAGCCACTAACGCATGCTCATATTTTAAAAAATAATCGTATATATGGGACTCCATTTTACTTTGTCTAATAGCACCTTGGATGTGAATTGATATAGCATCCCTAAAATAATTGGAGAAAAAGCAAATCTTTTTTTACATGTTTTAAATTAAACTCCTTGTCTCAGAATTTTGAAGGAATCCCATAATGTATTTTTCCATCATTTAATAAAATAAAATATTGATAAAAAGAGGGAAAGGAGTAAGAATAATTTTATAATTGGAAATCACGGAGGAGAGATTTGAAGTGGTGATATCTAAAAATTTGATTTACAAATTGTTGTTTAAACCAGCAGCAACAGCATTACCTCATACCTTATAAAAAAAGGCAGAGAACATTTTGCCAAGAAGCACTCTTCTAGATGAAAACTAAACACGTGGAGAAAGCAGATTAATAAAATGAGAGAGTGCAGAAAAGATGGCGGCAGAAAATAAATTTTCCACATCTATTTAGATACTTCCCTTAAGCTGTCCTAATTCCCTGCCTTCAATGTAAAGACTTAGAGTGTATGACGCCGCCATCCTTACTACCTTGGAAAGCTGCCCAACCCCCAACCCCTCCTTCTTGTATTTTGGCCTAATATTTATTTCTTCATTTTATTAGTTCTTTTTCTAGCCTTGCCAATGAGTGTTATAAAAGGCTTAGAACTTATCCCACAATTCTTTTCCTCTCTTTCTTGAATATATCCTGTAGTTTTTTATGTGTGTATGTGTGTGTGTATATATATATATATATATATATATATATATATATATATATATCCTGTAGGATAATTATTGTGTTTTCTGTCACCATCTTTTACTTGACAGTTGATTATAAACACATCTTCCTATACATATATTTCTACTTGGGCACTTAACTAAGATTTCAGATGAATGGCTACATCCATTCATTAGAATCCTGAATAAAAATAGCTTTTCTTCTCAAATTAAGAGTTGCATCTCTCAACTTTGCCAGTGAACCAGACAAAATTCTAATTATTTCTCCTCCTTAGTCTTCAAGTGTGCCTAGGATGTGACAGAAGATAAATTACATCTAAAGTAATTTTAAGGTAAAAAATATAATGTAATGGATTATTATATGGATTGTTATTTTTCTCTGTGCCTCTTCTGGCATGTCAAAGTTTGACTCCTAGCATTCATTTCTGCAACATTTAACATAAACCAGGATGTTCTTTGTAATTCTACCTTTCATCATAACTATATAACATAATTTTCTCAAAATATTCACTTTTCCATGTCATTAAACAACTGAATATGTTGAATATATTCTTACTCATTCCAAGTGTCACTATTCTGCCTGATTTTGAAGCCTCTTAGTAATGTGCCAACTGGTAGTCTGAATAATTTGTTGAGTAATAATAATTCCTACCGTAGATTTTTGTTATAGGTTGATTTTAATTATCAACTGGTGTAGTGCATGTAAAGTCAGTTTAAAAAATGATAAACGGTATTTTTTAGAGAAGTTTTAGGAGGTTTACAGGAAAATTGAGCTGAAAGTAGAGTTTTCCTATTCCCAACTTCAACCAGCACAGTTTTCCCTATTAATATTGTTCATTAGTGTGGCACATTTGTTATAACTAATGGACCAATATTGTTACTAGTTGAAGTCTGTAATTTGCACTAGGGTTTACTATTTGGGTTTTACTGGTGTATGGGTTGTGACCAAAGCATAATGTAATGTATCCACGCTTTGTTTATTTATTTTTATTTGTTTATTTATTTTTGAGATGGAGTCTCACTCTGTCGCCCAGGCTGGAGTCCATGGTGCAATCTAGGCTTACTGCAACCTCTGCCTCCCAGGTTCAAGTGATTCTCCTACCTCGTCTTCCCGCGTAGCTGGGATTACATGAGCCCACCAGACCCATAGGCATGGGTCCAACTAATTTTTGTATTTTTAGTAGAGATGGGTTTCACCATGTTGGTCAGGCTGGTCTTGAACTCCTGATCTCAGGTGATCCACCCGCTTTGGCCTCCCAAAGTGCTGGGATTACAGGCGGGAGCCACCGTGCCTGGCCTGTATCCACCATTATATCATCAGACAAAGTAGATTCATCTGCCCTAAATATCCCCTATACCTATTCATCCCTCTCCTTTCCTTGTGGCCACCACAGATGTTTTTGGTGTCTCTACAGTTTTTTCTTTTCCAGTATGTCATATACTTGGAACCACGTAGCACGTAGACTGCAGACTGGCCTCTTTCACTTAACAGTATGAATTTAAAGCTCCTTCATGAATTTCTGTGTCTTGATAGCTCATTCATTTGTACAGCAGGCTAATATTCCATTGCATAGACGTACTACTTATTGTTTATCCATTTACTTGTTGCAGATCATCTTTGTTGCCTCCAAGTTTGGTCAATTATAAGTGAAACTGCCATAAACGTTTATATATGGGGCTTTGTGTGATCATAAGTTTTCAACTTATTTGGGTAAATATCTAAGACAGCGATTGCTGGACTATGTTTAACTTTCTAAGAAACTGCTAAACAATTTTACACAGTGGCTGTACCATTTTCCATTTTCACCAGCAATGAATGTTGCTTTACATCCTTGCTCCACATCCTTGCTGCACATCTTTGCCAAGATTTGGTTTTGCCCAGGTTTTGAATTAAAAAATTTCTAGGCCAGGCGTGGTGGCTCACGCCTGTAATCCCAGCGCTTTGGGAGGCAGGTGGATCATGAGGTCAGGAGATTGAGACCGTCCTGGTCAACATGGTGTAAACCCTGTCTCTACTAAAAATACAAAACAAATTAGCTGGGTGTGATGGCACACGCCTGTAGTCCCAGCTACTCAGGAGGCTGAGGCAGGACAATTGCTTCAACCTGCTAGGGAGAGGCTGCAGTGAGCCAAGATTTTGCCACTGCACTCCAGCCTGGGTGACAGAGTGAGACTCTGTCTCAAAAAAAAAAAAAAATTCTACCTACTAGATGTGTAAGTGGAATTTCCTTGTTATTTTAATTTGCAATTTCCTAATGACATTTGACATTAAGCATTTTTTCATATGCTATTTGCCATTTACATATCTTTTTTGGTAAGGTGTCTTTTCAATTTTTTTTTCACTTTTAAATTGGGTTGTTTGTAATTTTGCTGTTGAGTTTTAAGGGATTTTTTTATATTTGGATATATGTCCTTTATCAGATATTTTGCAAATATTTTTTCCTGGTATGCGAGTGTATTTTTTTTATTTTTTTAGAAAAACATTCTCTTCACAGTGTCTTTTACAGAGCAGAAGTTTAAATTTTAACTGAGGCCAATTTGCCAATTAAAAAAAATATACTTTTGGTGTTGTTTCTAAACCTCATTGCCAAACACAGGGTCACCTAGATTGTCTCCTACATTGTCTTCTTAAATGTTTACACCTTTTCATCGTACAATTAGGTATATAAATTAGTTTGAGTTAATTTTTTTAAAAAAGCCATAAAGTCAGTATGCAGATTCGTTCTTTAACATGTGAATCCACTTGTTTCAGTAATATTTATTGAAAAGGCTGTCATTCCTTCATTTGATTGCCCTGGTTCCTTTGTCAAAGATTAGTTAATTATATTTGCATGAGTACATTATTTCTGGGTTCTCTGTTCTGTTTCATTGATCTATTTAACTATTCTTTTGCCAGTACTACACTGTCTTGACTACTGTAGCTTTATAGTATGTCTTGAAGTTTAGTAATGTCAGTTCTCCAGATTTGTTCTTTTTATTATTGGCTTTACATATAAATTTTAGAATCAGTTTGTCAACATCCCATGAATAACATTCTGGGATTTTGATTGGGTCCTGCTTTTGTCTGAATAAATTTTAGCAGGGCATGTCTTTCTTCATTCTTTAAAAATATCTATCTTTATATTTAATGTATTTTTCTTTTTTTTCTTTTCCTTTTTTTTTTTTTTTTTTTTTTTTGAGACGGAATCTAGCTCTATCACCCAAGCTGGAGTGCAGTGGTGTGATCTAGGCTCACTGCAACCTATACCTCCTGGGTTCAAGCAATTCTCCTGCCTCAGCCTCCAGAGTAGCTGGGACTACTGGAGTGCACCATCATGCCGGCTAATTTTTGTATTTTTAGTAGGGATTTGGTTTCACCATGTTAGCCAGTTTGATTTCAAACTGCTGACCGCAGGTGATCCGCCTGCCTCAGCCTCTCAAAGTGCTGCGATTACAGGCATGAGCCACTGCCTCAGGCCTGATTTTCTTATAGAGAATATGTAGATAGTATTGCTTTTGTAACCATTGTAATAGACTCTGTCTTTTAATTTGGGTATTTAGGCCATTGACACACACACAAAAAGTACTTGATGTGTGGTTTTGTGCCACATAATTGTTTTGGTCAATGACAGACCACATCCATAATAGTGTTTCCATAAGATTATAATACTGTATTTTTACTGTATCTTTTCTATACATAGATATGTTTAGATACACAAATACCATTTTGTTAAAGTTCCTATAGTACTCAGTACACTAACATGCCTTACAGGACTGCCTAGGAGCAAAAGACTACACTGTATAGCATAGGTTTGTAGTAGTCTATGCCATCTAGGTTTGTGTGAGTACACACTTTGATGTTTACACAAGAAAATTGCTACTGACACATTTCCCAGAATGTATTCCCATCATTAAGCAATGCATGACTATAGTTAATATTTTTATGTTTATGACTTTTCTTTTTTTTTGCAGTTTGCATATAATATGCCTAAATGTGCTTGTTGTTGTTGTTGATTTATCATGCTTGTTCTCTAAACTTCCTGGATCTGTGCTTTGTCATCAATTTTTGAAAATTATTAGCCATTATTATTTCATATGTTCTTCTGGAAATTCTCTTTCTTCTCTTTTGCTATACCTATCACAAGTAGTTATACTTTTGTAATTGTTTCACAGCTCTTGGTTATTCTATTCTAGGTTGATTTATCTTAATTATTATTTTTGTCTTTACATTGTTAGTTTGGGGAATATCTACTGCGTATTATCTTGCTTACTGCTTCTTAACTCAGCTATGTTCAGTCTACTAATGAGCCATTAATAAGGGATTTCTTCATTTCTGTTACAATGTATTTTTAAAACCTTCTATAGTTTCCTTTTAATTTTTTCTTTAGAATTTTTATCACTCTGAATCTATTACTCATATGCTCTTGCATGTTGTCCACTTTTTTCATTAAGAGTTCTTAGCATAGTAATCATAGTTGTTTTCAATTCCCAGTCTGATATCTTCAAAATACCTGCCATATCTCAGTCTGATTCTAAGGGTTGCTTTGTGATTTCAGAATGTGTTGTGCCTTTTAGCACAGCTTGTTATTTGTTTTTAAAACTGAAAATAATATTTTTTAAAAAACCAAGATAATAGTCCTTTGATGTAAGCTTCTATGTTTATTTGGCTAGGAGTTAGGCTGCATTTACTTTTTTCTGTAGCTGTGGTGTCAGTGCCCCAAATTTCTTCTTCCTGTTGTTTTTGCCTCCTCTGTTGTTTGAATTTCTCTAGAAATTTCTTCTTAAAAAGGATCTGAGCGATGCAGTTACTTTGCAGTTATTTTAATTGTAATTCCCTGTTATTAAATAGGAGAACTTTTGATGTGTTAGTATGATGTAGGGGAATGAGAAGCATTCCATAGTTCTATGATTAGGTCTCTGTGTTTTAGTAAGCCTGTGTGTCTAGGCTAAGATCTTCCAAGGACTTATCACCCACCCACTTAGGTAGAACAAGAAACCTAGAGAAGGCTGCAGTTGGGTGTTTTCCTTCTCCCATGTTCATTAAATTCTGGCAAAACCCAAATTAGTTAGGCTCTGAGTTTCCCTTGAGGGAAGGCTGTTGCTAATGAGAACATATCACTTCAGCCAATTTGTCATATAAACTCAAGTCTCAGATGGATCTAATAAGACGTATTGATTTTTAGTTTGTTCAGCTGAGGATGTAGTTGGCAACTTTGAAGCTCTGGTAGGCAGTAGGTACACATGGAAGTCTCTCATTTTAATTTATATTTTACTTAATCAAATATGCATATATACATATATGTATATAATTATAAAATACAATTTATCCTAAAATTTTACAATAAAAAAATCATTTCCCTTTCCTTACTGTCCAACTCTGATTCCTATTCCCCAGAAGCAACTGCATACAACTGTTTTAAGAATTTTTTTCTTATATTTCTCTCCATGCTATATGTAAATGGTTTATACAAATAATTATTTAAGTTTTTGATATACAATATCAACTTCTCTACTATAGAAATGTATAACTTTTCATATGTCCTTTTATATTATTCTTGCCATGCAATTATCATTTTCCTCTTTTACAGTTTAGTTACAAATTGATTAGCTTAATGTATATTGTTTATATTATTATGCCTGTAAATACATTTCTTAGTTGAGCCTAAGATATTTATATAACTTGATATATTATCACCTTACATTAGTTTTTAGTTTTCATTTGTTACATTATGATATTATGTTTGTCTTTAGTTCTCATTTGTTTATTTTCCATTTACTTAATATTGGTCCAAGGTTAAGCTCTTTGTCAGAAACAGCAACAACAAAATCTTCTAAATGCAATAAAAACATAATCTATCAATAGTTTTTTTAAATCTATGGGTAAGTTACTCTGGGATGAAATCATTCCATTTCATCCTGGAATAATTCCTTCTATGTCTGCTTCTTGGTATTGATTTCCAAGCCTCTCTCTCTATTTTTTTTAAACCTGTATATTTGTTTGTTGCTTGCTTGATTTTTTTTGTCCCAAAATGTTTCCTTTTCCATAGCTTCAGAGTAATTTTTGAAAAATACAATATTTTATTATATCTCTTTGAGATTACAAATTAGACTTTTTTAAGTTTTCTTCAATTTTCTTATTCTCTATGTAATTATATCTAATTTGTAATAACATCTGCATTTACTTTGATACTGTGACAAATGACTTGTAAGAAAACTCTTCCTTGCTGATCAGGACCTGAACCAGACTCAGGGTATGAGTATACTCAGCAAAAAGACAAGTGGATTATGAAATCAGACTTTTGGTTTCTAGTTCCAAAAAGCTTAGAATTAGCCACTCTGTCTTTACAACAAGTGAAAAACTGAACAGAACAAATAATCAACAATTCTTATTGGATTGGCAAGAGAGAAGAAGACCCCCCAAAAAAGTACTGCTCCCAAGATTGGAGACACAGAAAGGCATATGTGAAAAGTCACAACTTATAAAGGCAGAAACTCAGGTATAGCAAAAGCCACAGGAAATAGTGCCAGGACAGAAAAACTTGAACTATAAATGACGAATTGTTGGAGGCTCAGTGTGAACAATTCTGAGAGATAAAACTCCAGGGAACTGAGTCATAAGGCAGCTTCCACAGTATTGTGAAATTTACCTTCAGGAGCTCCACCAGGTTCCCATATCCCCACAGTAAATATTAGAGAAAAATTCCCTCATGCTTCTGCAGGGGAAAGAGAAAAGGAACCATTTTGAAATATGTCAAAATACTCTGTTCTTAAGGCCTGACCTCAGGAGAGACTATGTAATAAGAGCCCTACTTGCTGGGGCAGAATCAGTCTAACTGACCTGTAGTAAAAATACCCAACTCTAGTTCCCTCTAACTTTATGCCTGGGAGAATTAAAATACCCATTTCCAATCTACACTAGCCATCATCCTGTCCCAACTAAGAGGGGAGAAAAAAAAATTTGAGAAAAACTTCTGAAGTTCACAATCCAGAGGTACAGGCTCACTAAAAGACTGATATTAATGAAGAATTATAGAATTACAGAATGTTCCCCCTTTCCCTGGTACCTCACCAACACATTACAAAAACGTGTATTTTTGGCAGTTTTTTTTCTCTCAGTAAACCATGTTGACATATTTTAAAAAAGAAAAAAAACCAATGACAAAAAACACAATTTGAAGTGACAGAGTAAGCATTAGAGCCTGACACAGCCAGAATGTTGTAACTATAAGACCAGTCATTTTAAACAACTGTGATGAATATGCTAAGGGTCTTAATGGATAAAGTAGACACCATCCAAGGACAGATGGGCAGTGTAAGCAGAGGGGTGGAAATCCTAATAAAAACCAAGAAATGCTACGGATAGAAAAAATTGTAACACAAAGAATGCCTTTGATGGCCTCATTAGTAGACTGGACATGGCTGAGCAAAGAGTTTCTGAGCTTCAGCATACATCAATAGAAACATCAAAAATGAAAAGCAAAGAGAACAAAGACTGAAAAGAGTAGTGCATTCAAGGACTGTGGAAGAACGACATGTCATGGAAATACCAGAAGAAGAAAGAAAGCAAAAAAAAAAAAAAAGAATAGAACAAATATTTGAAACAACAATCACTGACAGTTTCACCAAATTAACATCAGACGCCAAACCACAGATGCAGGAAGTTCAGAGAACACCAAGTAGAATAAATGCCAAAAAACTACACCTTAATATATCATTTTCAAACAACAGAAAATCAAAGATAAAGAGAAAATTCTCAAAAACGCCAAAGGAGAAAAAAAGAAAAAAACAAGAACTTTACTTACAGAGAATCAATGATAATAATTCCATCTTTCTTCTCCTCAGCAATTATATAAGCATGAAGCAAGTGGAGTAAAAAATTCGTGTTCATAACACACACACACACACACACCACACACGCACACAACCCTAGAATTCTATACCTTGTTAGATTGTCCTCTAAAATCAAAGAAGAAATACAGGATTTCTCTGACAAGCAAAAACTGAGACTATTTGTTTCCAGAAGTTGAGAATAATCCTGCCTTGCAAGAAATGTTAAAAGAAGTTGTTCAGAAAAAGGGAAAATGTAGTAGAGGTCAGAAACATGAACCTACATAAAAAAAAGAAGAACACTATAGAAGGAATAAGTAATGGTAGAAAAAATTCTTTCTTATTCTTAACTGACCTTTTAAATAATTTATTCAAAATAATAATAGCAACTACGCGTGTGATTATGTATGCCTATTTATATCATATATATCTAAAAGCATACACAGTAAGAATTATCATATTTATGCTTATATATTTTTATATGTAAATGAAATGAATTAAAGCAAAGGTATGTATTATGAGAGGGAAAAATTAGAATTATTTTGTTATCATAAGGTAGTCACCCTACCCATGAAATTGCATAGTGTTTTTGAAAGTGGACTTCGATTAATTGTAAATGTAGATTGTAAACTCTAAGAAAACCACTTAAAAAAGGAAAAAAAAAAGATGTCTAACTAACACATGCTATGGAAGGTGAGAAAATGGAATCATATAAAAAATTCAGTTAAAACTCCCAAAAGGCAGAAAAAGAGTGGAAGACAAAAATAGAAATAAAAAATAAGTATAATCACAGGACAATATTAAATTTATTATAAAAGCATATTCATAAACATTTCAATAGTGTCAGCATGCATATAGAATTATTGCTAGTATCAGTCATTCATAGATTAAAATACACTAAGACTGATATTTATATTTTATTAAACTTAATGAATTATTAATCATTATAATCATATATGCATATGAATTCATACATGGACATAGTTGGAAGTGCAGTATGTTTACAAACTGGTAATATCTGGTTTGAATCTGGCCAGCTGATTTACTTTGCCAGCATAATTTTGCTTGTTTGTTTGTTATTTTCCTGATAAATCAGAATACTCTTAAGGGAATAATATGCTTTATACCTCATTGGCCTAACATAAGCCTATTTCTTATACTTAGATGATTCACACATTTATATTACCCGCAGGCTTCTGAAGACAATATAATCCCTACAGTTGAGATGTGTGAATGAATTTCACTCCTAGAATGATCACATTTTCTCGCCTCTATTTTCTCTTTATTTTCATTATTCATCATTCTTGTAAACAAATTTATTTACCTATAGTCTATGAAAGTTCTTGATATGCTAAAATTATTCGTAGAGTAATACACACTGTGTATAATTAAAAAATAATTTAATAAAAGCCAGGAATGGGATAGCACAGCACATCTATTAGGCAAGATCAGGCTCATTCAAGGTTGGATGGCAGTAGATAAAACACCTACTACAGTAGACAAAATACAGCACACTGACAACACCAAATGATGGCAGAGATATGAAGCAATAAGCACTTTCATTTACTGCTGGTGGAAATACAAAATGGTGCAGCCACTTTGAAGACGGGTTGGTTTCCTGCAAAACTAAATATACTCTTCTCATATTATCTAGCAATCATGCTCCTTGGTATCTATCCACAGGAGCTGAACACTTAATGAACACACAAAAATCTGCACATGCATGTTTATAAAGGCAAAACTTGAATGGACAAACAGTGGTACATCTAGACAACAAAATATGATATAGAACTAAAAAGAATGAGCTATCAGCCATGAAAAGGCATAAAAGAAACTTAAATGCCTGCTACTATAGGAAAGAAGCTAATCTGAACAGGCTACATACTATATATTCCTTCTATATGACATTCTAGAAAAAACAAAAGAATGAAAATAAAAAGATTAGTAGTAGGGAGGGAGAAATGAATCAGAGAATTTTTAGGACAGGGGAAATATGTTTACTGTAATGGTGGATACATGTCCTTTACATTGGTTCAAACACATACAATGTGCAACACTAAGAATCAGCTATAAAGTATACTGTTGACTTTGGGTGATCATTATGTATCAGTGTATTATAGACTCATCAGTTATAAAAAAAAAAAGTACTACTGTGCTGTGGGATGGTGATAATGGGTGAGGGTAGAGGGTACAGATGTGTGGGGCCAAAGGGGTGGTTATGGAAAATCTTTCTATCTTATTCTCCATGTTGCTGTGAATGTAAAACTATTTTATAAATAAATAGTTTGAATATTTATTCAAATTATTGAATAATTTCAAAAATACATCTTGAATGATTTTTATTAGTTGATGACAATATTCTGTAACTGGATTTGGCTAATGGTTACGTGTGGCATGTATCTGTGCACAAATCCACAGAACTGTATACTTAAGGTTTGTGGATTTTACTGTATATAAGCAATCCCTCAAAAATACAAAAATAACAATTTTTAAATTAAGAGGAAAAATACAGCTTTTGTTTATCATTTAATTAATTGCTTTTGTTTCTATCATTTGAAAGTATGGTTGATGAAACCAGAATTCACATTCTTTTCATCTTTTCACAGTTTATCTTTTTTTTTCTTTTTTTTGAGATTGAGTCTTGCTGTGTTGCCCACACTGGAGTGCAGTGGCGCAAACTCTGCTCACTGCAACCTCCGCCTCCAGGTTCAAGCGATCCTCCTGCCTCAGCCTCCTGAGTAGGTGGGATTACAGGTGTGCGCCTCCACACCTGGCTAATTTTTGTATTTTTAGTAGAGACAGGGTTTCACCATGTTGGTCAGGCTGGGCTCGAACTCCTGACCTTGTGATGGGCCTGCTTTGGCCTCCCAAAGTGCTAGGATTACAGGCATGAGCCACCACCTCCAGTCCCACAGTTTATATCTTAATACCCAGGAAGGGGCTGGAGCAATAATAAATAACATATTACAACTTATTAATACAAATGTAACTACTCCTTTTATTAAAAAATAGTAACTTTAAGCATTATAAGATGATATTTTTAAGTTGGCTGACATAGAAGTGATCTTGCAATGTATAAAGATTTTCTAGGCATTATATTTGAGATATACAAATATTTCTTTTAATTTTATTATTAATGTTTTGCAATAAACTCAAATAATTCAATGAGAAAAGAAGACTCCATTAAAATGTGGGCAAAAGACATGAACAGTTTTATTTTTCAAAAAAAGACAGAGAAGTGGTCAAAAAATACATGAAAAACATCTTCAGCATCACATCATCAGAAAAATGCAAACTGAAATCATAAGGATATACCCTCTTCAGTCAAAATGGCTATTAATAAAAAGTCAAAAAACAACAGATGTTGACAAGGGTGTAGAGAAAAAACATTTATATACTTCTAGTGGAATTATAAATTAGTACACCATCTATGGAAAATAATATGAAGATTTTTTAAATAATTAAAAATATAATTATCATTCAACCCAGCAATCCCACTACCGGATATCTACCCAAGGGAAATCATGACATCAAAAAGACACCAGCACTTGTATGGTCATTGAAGTATAATTCACAATAGCAAAGGCATGGAATCAACCTAAGTGTCCATGAATGGAGGATTGGATAAAATAAACGTGATACACACACACACACCATGGAATACTACTAAGCCAAAGAAAGGCATCTGCAGCAACATGGATGAAACTCGAGGCCATTATCCTAAATGAAATAACGGAGAAACAGAAAGTCAAATACCACAAGTTCTCACTTATAAGTGAGAACTAAATAATAAATAGAAATGGACATACAGAGTGAAAAAAATAGACATGGGAGACTCCAAAAATTAGCAGGGTGGGAGTGGGGTAAGAGATGGTAACTTACCTGTTGGGTACAATGTTCGCTATTAGGGTAATGTGTCCACTAAAAATCCAGACTTCATCACTATACAATATATGCATGTAAGAAATCTGCACTTCTAACCCCTAAATCTATAAATATAAAATTTAAAAAAGTTTTACGAAGTTTCTTTTCTTGCTGTATTTCCACTCATAGTTACATGCTTTCCCATGTTTATTTTAATATCCATTTTTCTCTTTGTTCAATAGTAGTTTTCATATTGTAGATGGCTCCAAATTGTTGCTAGATTAAATCTTAGAAGGAATTAATAATATTATAATAATAATATGAATTCTTCTCAGAATACTTTTTATTTCCATACAGAGCTTTTTGTACTCAGTATCTAAGACTGAATTTTTAAAAATCACCAGAGAAATTCTACAAGTACATACAATGACACTTAGATATTGATATATACAAAGATATATAACTGTTGCTGAAAATATTGATTCCAAGTTTTGTATAATAATAGTTTGACTTGTTAACATTTTTATGGGTCAGTGTTATGTTGTTATTATAGTTATACAAATAATAATACTGGGTATTAAAATGGAATATGAATCAGATGTCGGTGGAATATTTAACATAGTTTGAAAACTAGAAAGAGAGTAATATTTTGAGAGACCTGAATTCAAATCTCAAAACAGTCTTATATTAGTGATATCACTTTGCATGTATGTTTGTACATTGGCACTGGCAAAACAAATGAAAGACTGAAAAACTTGGTAGACAAAATCTGTTTATTTTATCTTTAGTCAGTTCCTTTCCGTCTTCTCTATTTCTGAATTTTTTCTCAATGCCTTAGGGGGAAAAAGTCACATAACTTGGACTTTCAAAGGGAAGTGCATTCTCCTTATCTTAGAGCCAATTGTAAAAAAAAAAAATTCTATTGAAATTTTCTCAGATTTTGCTTTGTAATCAATGGACACCATCATTCCCTCAATAGTGTTAATATTAAAATAACTGAGATAACCACAGAAGATGACTGCTACATAATAAACTTTTACTTCACTTTGTTGATATATAAGTTGAGCTTTTATGTAAAGTTCTTACAAGTGACTGTCAAATAATAAAATTCTCAACTAGAAATCACCCATATTTTACTTAGTACAAGTACTTCACTTTATATGTGTTGGAACAATTGTGTCTTAGTTCGTTTTGTGCTGCTATACCAGAATACCTGAGCCTGGATAATTATAATAAACAGAAATTTATTGGCTCACATTTCCGGAAGCTGAGAAGTCTAAGATCAAGAAGCTGCATTTGGCAAGGGCCTTCTTGCTGTTTATAACACGAAAAAAGGCATCACAAAGCAAGAGAACAAAAGATCTAACTCATACTCTCAAGCATTTTTTAAATTGGCATTAATCTATTTGTGAGGGTGGAGCATTCATGACCTAAACACCTCCTGTTAGTCCCCAACTCCCACGGCTATTGGGTTGGGGTTAAGTTTTCAACACACTATTTTGGTGGCACATATTAAAATCATAGCAGATAGATTAGAGAGAGTTTAATTATTTAAATAATGTGAAAGCTGTTTATGGGCTTGGGATTACAATCTAAAAGAGCATACATACTCAATGGATGTTTCTTTACTCTTTTATCCAATTACTTGCTTTGCTTTATTTCCTTGCTTCATTTGTGTCCTTTTATTATGTGGTGAAGGAAATATTATGGCACCCAAAATGTACAGAGTCAAAAATATGCAGATTATTCTAGGAAAAATGCATATCTGAAGCATAAGAATGCTCAAAGACATGTACCCTCATAGATTTATAAGAGAATTTAATATAAGTTTACATCATATTCTCACCACAGCTCCAACCAAATTAGTCTTTTGCGTTAGAGATTTACAATATCCAGAACTACCACTTCTTTCTCTTTTTTTGTGTTTTCCCTCTTCTTCCCTTTCTCCCTCATCCTTTTCCTCTTCCTCCTCCTTCTCTTTCTTTTCTTCCTCCCTATCTTCCTATTCCTACTCCCACTCCTTTTTCTCCTTCTCCTTTCTATTTTATTCTTCTTTTGAAAAAGAAAATGATGAGCAATATCAGCATCCCTCTCAGTAAATATTTAATCTCACTAAAGGCAAAGGATATTTAAAGAAATCAGTATGAACACAGAAGTAATCTATTAGGGTAGTAATCAGTGGCAATGGACTTCAGTTACATTAAAAGACTTCCTAATTAAGCAATGAAGAACACAGCTTCACTGGGATTTTAATGACAGCATCAAAACTTTACAATGTTAAGTCACCTTGTTAAGGAAGAAAAGTATGGCTGAAGTATGATATAAACAAGTCACCTTTCTTACATGTTTAGAATGCATATGTCCCCTATAATATAATTTCTATTATTGCAAAATATGAATATTGTTTTACTTTGTACTGATGAATGACCTTACATTCAGTGAAATTCAGGATAAAAAATGGAAAATAAACACAAATATGTTATTTTAAGCCCTTTTTTTTTGAAAACAAGGATAGCTGCAAATACAAATAATGAACAATGTATGTTAATTCCTTCTTGGTATACTCTGAAGAACTGAGGTATACTGTGGTGTGTGGCTTCAGGTGGTTTTAACAGCTAGCCTTATTTTCCTTCCTTACTACGTAATGGTCTTAAGATGTTATTTAACATTTTGACTATTGATTTCTGTCTTAGTTACATTATGTTGAAACAAAATAGCATGGACTGGTTGGCTTAAACAACAGACATTTACTTTTCGGAGTTCTGGGGGCTGGCAGATCTAAGAACAAGGTGCTAACAGGTATGATTCTTAGTGAGAACCATCTTCCTGCCTGGCAGACAGCTGCCTTCTCACTGTATCCTCACCTGATAGACAGAGAAAAACAACCGTTCCGTTTTTTTTTTTTTCAATAAAGGCACTAATACCTTCATAAGGGTCTTACCTCGTGGCCTCATCTAAACCTGATTACCTCCCAACAGCCCCACCTCAAAATACAATCACATAGCGGAGTGGTTAAGGCTTCAACATATAAATTTTGAGTGGAAACAAACATTCAGTCCATAACAACTTCAATGTCTTAAGAACTGAATAAGAAAATGAATGTAAACTCCTTACAGGTTTGTCATTAGTAAATATTTTTCATGCCCTGCTCCTCTATTAGTAGTAACAAAACATTTTTTCCTAAGTAAGGACATTTTAGAACATATAAAGTCTACTAAAATACTGTTAAAACAGTTTTGAATGCAATTAGTCATGAACAACTTCTATGCAGTTGCATATCTAGTTATGTTTACACAGTAGAAAACAAAGTGTGAACACAGAATGTAGGTATGTAACATCAAGAAATATGTCTCAGCTATCGCCACCTTTGTGCCAATTATCAAATCTCTCAGTTCAAAATTCCCCCTTCAGCATATGTTACAAAAATAGAAGGAATTTTTTAAAGTATTTCCCCATTAAAGTGAGCACCATTAAGGTGTTAAACTTTCCCAAAAGAGGGTACTATAAAAGAATCTTAGGAAGACAGGTTCTCCTGAGATTTCTGGCTACTCTAGTAGGTAAGATGTATGGGTATGAGAACTTACTGCTAAGTGTGTCCCAGCCTGTGTTCAGAGCATGATCCCTCCGTGGTCTTTCAGCCATAGACTGATGGTAACCTTTTGTGTGGCCCTCTCTATATAAAAACTGCCTCAAAAGCTTCCTGATTTGTACAAGTGCCCTGATTGTCCTCTTCAAGCTCATACATGTATTGCCTGCAGTCCTGGAGAGCTCCCATTGGCCCTTACTATCCGAGCAAGGCCTGGTCAGGTCCTGTTGTGCACCAGTGCTTTCTCCATAGTCAGCTATCTCCACAGCTCCCCTCCATCCCACTTCCTCTGTATGTCTGAGCCATGAATTACTGCTCATCAATTCTCCAACTGTACTTGGAAGACTTTTCTGACTGCTTGCTCAGTGACTGTGGACCAGCTTGCCTGGACAATCCAGCAAACTTCTGCTATCCAAGGTACTGAACTACACATTTTCCAGAGAGTACTGAACTTTGGGGCTGAGAGGGAGGTCTCCTTCCAACGTTATTCTTCCTTTGGTACTTTCTCTTGGCCCTAATTTACCATAAAATTTTTTCTTATACAATTATCTTATAGTTACTCTTTCATGAGTTTTCCTACTAAACTTCCCCTGTGTAACCCACTGTGTGGTTTCTATCTATCTATTATTCCCAGATTGATACACTGCTAAACACTTTGTTATGCTACTACCCAAGTCCTGTGGAAAATTGAAATTACACCCTTGTTTTAAGTTACAAATTACTATTCCCTTCTTTCTTAAACCTAGTCTGGCCCACTTAGACCTGTCTCCTATTAACAGAAATTTTAAAATCAGTAACATGATTTCCTATTTTGTTCTTGAAACTTTTAGTACCCTACTAGTCATGTAGTAGTCATAAAGTGAGTTCAGGAACAGGTTCGCAAAAGTAAATATTGTAATATATTAAGATGTAGATGTGCCATTTTAGCAAGTTTGAAAACATTTATGTTACTTTCAAGACATACAGGAGTAAGATAATAAATATTTAACTGTACATGTGCAAATGGGGAAACTGAAGCTCAGAGAGAAACACTAATTAATCTAAAGCCAGTCATGCTGTAACACTGAGCTAAGATTTTATCTCAACAGGTCTGACTTCAATGTTCATGTTTCCTATAGAATAAATGGTGGGTGAAAAGTTCATTGGCTTTAAATTAAAGAAAGGAGAAGAAAAGAAAAGAGAGAAGAGGAAAATAAAACTTCAAGGAAAGATCAGAGAAGAGAGTAAAGAAGCAGTAAAATTAAGGTAGTGTAGATGAAAATGAGTTGAAAAGTTTTCAGGATCTTATTAACACTTCAATCTGCTATTGCTTATTGTAAATATTGAAGGGAACTTCTATTTAATCCAGGAACTCATTCATCTTTTGATGGACCGAATGCAAACACTGGCAAACACCAATTTAAGAAAATTTTGGAAACAAAGATACTCACTTTATTTTAATTTTTCATTCAGTTTGAATCACGGTCCCAAATAGAAGAAAAATGTTTATGTTTTTACAGTAAAACATGTTATAATAACAAATGTTCAAAAAATTAGAATGCTAAAAAATCTTGTCTGATAATTTGGAACAAAGTGTTTTAAAAACAAATTTCAAGATTCAGGTAAAAAGATATA
Source organism: Homo sapiens (assembly GCF_000001405.40). NCBI lineage: Eukaryota > Metazoa > Chordata > Mammalia > Primates > Hominidae > Homo > Homo sapiens. Next base: position 115,710,539 of record NC_000004.12, on the reverse strand, counting down.
ATTAAGGAAGTAAATAACAGCATTGCTATTCATCAGAAAGTTAAGAGAATCTTTTAATGGGATTTATTTATAATTAAAATATTCATAATGCGGTACAAAACAGAAGAAATGAATCCTCAACTATAATGAACAAATTAATTACAATGATAAGAGATTTGAAACATACTAATTTGTGTTAGAGATTCAATGTTGAAAAAAATAAGGACAAAAGAATAGTAAATGTAATATTAGTCTCAAAATTTTGCCCTTGCTGGAAGCCAAAGATATTTGTTATAGTGCAGAATGTTTGATATCAAAATACATAATGATTGTGACAAATTGAAAGCAGGAAAAAATGTCATTTTTTTTAAAAGATTGTAAAGTAAAATTTACTGTAAGTTTTAGGTTCTTACATTAACCTTAATTATGATGAGCTTTCTTTAAGCATTAAAATCAACAACAATATGTTCAGGGCAATATTGATAATGTGAGTTGGAGAAGGTGTTCAACTTTAGCACAGAACAGAAAAACATCTGCTGATCCTTATACATCTTATAACAAAGCAGGGTTTATGTCAGCAGTTTGATATCACTTGCCACATTCTATACCAAGACTAGAAGGATACTATGGTCAGGGTTACAGCCTGAGTGGTTAACTGAACAATGACAGAATTGACAAATACGTTAAACGCTGATATCTTTTAAAGCTCTCTGTGGGCCGGGCGCGGTGGCTCACGCCTGTAGTCCCAGCACTTTGGGAGGCCGAGACGGGCGGATCGCGAGGTCAGGAGATCGAGACCATCCTGGCTAACACGGTGAAACCCCGTCTCTACTAAAAATACAAAAATTAGCCGGGCATGGTGGGGCGCGCCTGTAGTCCCAGCTGCACGGGAGGCTGAGGCAGGAGAATGGCGTGAACCCGGGAGGCAGAGCTTGCAGTGAGTCGAGATAGCGCCACTGCACTCCAGCCTGGGCGACAGAGCGAAACTCCGTCTCAAAAAAAAAAAAAAAAAAAAAAAAAAAAAGCTCTCTGTGAAGATGGCACTGTATTTCATTTAAATATGTCTTATTTTAATTTTTAAAATAACATGTTGCATTTTATCACGAGTATATGGTAATTTACTTTGGGAAATATTTGCATATTAATTAAGAATAAAATATGTAACAAAAAAGAATATCATCTATAGCAAAATACCACCATAAAGCTAGCAGCAGGAATTCTCCAAGTGGATAAAGATATATCACATTTAATAAATTATTAATGAGGAAAAAAAGCATGCCAAAATTTTCCTTGAGGCTCATGACCTCAGCAGTGAAATATAATTATTTGAAATGCTAAACACTTTCCCTAATATCTTTAATAAATTGTTCCTGACAACTTTTCTACTTCCTAATGTGTGTAGTATTTGTAAGGATTAAAACTCTAAGTACACCAAGGTATTGTTATGCTGCTGAAATTCACTGTGAGAAATACAGAATTCAAATAATTGTGTAAGAAGGAACAGGTAATTTTTACCTAGCTTTTAAATTCATATTTAATAAATTTGCAGTATGTAAAATATAATGTTGGTTGTTGAAAATTACTTTCAAAATGTAATACTGCATTTTCTTGTTTTTAGACTTAATTAATATGCAGCTAAGAAAAACATTTACAATATTTTTTGTTTAAATGTGTTTTATTTAGGAGTAATTTTCACATAAGAAATATTCCCAAAGTTGTTTGCTTCAGAAATGTACCTAAAGATTTTGAGAAGCAGATCATGGAAAAATAAGAAATTTGGTGAAATAATTGGCAATTGGAAAAACATATCTTAATGACAGAATGGTAAGATATAAATTCAGCATTATAACATAGCAAACAAAAAATTGATTTGGTCCTTATGGATCCAACAGTTCAAAATTGAAGATCTTGGGTTTTTATTCTAGATTGCCAGGATTTGCCCCTAACTTTTGCATTTATTGGCTTTATAATTTTCTGTGAATTGTCTACTACTTCTGTGTTGCAGCTTTGTTATCTGTAAGATGACAATAAATATGATTACACGAGTCACAGATTTGTTGTGAATATTAATTTCTGAATTCATTCATTCAGATGTATCTTGAGTCATTATGATGGTTTAGAATTATTCACAGCTTTGGGAATATAACAGCAATGAACAAGACATACAGGGTCTCTATCCAGTTTACTTCCCAGAAGGAAAAGAAACAAAGTGTAAAGTAGGGAAATAAATGAAATCCAGTAAGTGGTGCCATTGAAGCAAGCAAAATCAGAGAACTTTCAGAGAGTACTTAGGAAAATGAATGAAATTCAGAAAGCAGGGCTTCTTTAAGCTGAAACCTGAAATAAGAATGGAACTAGCCATTTGAGGATATGGTGACTCACTGTGCAAAGGCCCTCCTGTTGCAATTAACATAATGTGATACTCAAGGGACAGAAAAAAAGCTGTCACAATTAAATGACAAAACCAGGAAAAAAGTGATTACAGATAGGATCTGAATTATAGGCAGTAGCAGATCGTGTAGGATAAAGATCTTAGAATAGCCTTTTTAATATTAAAAAAAACACGCAAAACCAAACCAAACAAAAAACCTAGAGATCACCACGAAGAGAGAGAAATTAATATTAAAGATATCTCTTTAGGGGTATATCACCACTGATCCTACAGAAATACAAACTACCATCAGAGAATACTATAAACACCTCTATACAAATAAACTAGAAAATCTAGAAGAAATAGATAAATTCCTGGACACATACACCTTCCCAAGTCTAAACTAGGAAGAAGTTGAATCCCTGAAATAGACCAATAACAAGTACTGAAGTTGAGGCAGTAATTAATAGCCCACCAACCAAAAAATGCCCAGGACCAGAAGGATTCACAGCCGAATTCTACCAGAGGTACAAAAAGGAGCTGGTACCATTCCTTCTAAAACTATTCCAAACAATAGAAAAAGAGGGTCTTCTCCTTAACTCATTTTATGAGGCCAGCATCATTCTGATACCAAAACCTGGCAGAGACACAACAAAAAGAGAAAATCTCTGGCCAGTATCCCTGAGGAACATTGATGCGAATATCCTCCATAAAATACTGGCAAACAGAATCTAGCAGCACATTAAAAAGCTTATTTACTACGATCAAGTCGGCTTCATCCCTGGGTAGCAAGGCTGGTTCAACATACGCAAATCAATAAACATAATCCATCACATAAACAGAACCAATGACAAAAACCACATGATTATCTCAGTAGATGCAGAAAGGCCTTCGATATAATTCAACAGTCCTTCTTGCTAAAAACACTCAATACCTAGCTAAAAACTAGGTACTGGTGGGATGTATCTCAAAATAAGAGCTATTTATGACAAACCCACAGCCAATATCATACTGAATGGGCAAAAACTGGAAGCATTCCCTTTGAAAACTGGCACAAGACAAGGATGCCCTCTCTCACCACTCCTATTCAACATAGTTTTGGAAGTTCTGGCCAAGGCAATTAGGCAGGAGAAAGAAATAAAGCGTACTCAAATAGGAAGAGAGGAAATAGAATTGTCTCTGTTCGCAGATGACATGATTGTATATAAAGAAAACCCCATCATCTCAGCCCAAAATCTCCTTAAGCTGATAAGCACCTTCGGCAAAGTCTCAGGATACAAAATCAATGTGCAAAATCACAAGCATTCCTATACACCAATAATAGACAGAGAGCCAAATCATGAGTGAACTTCCAATCACAATTGCTACGAAGAGAATAAAATACCTATGAATACAACTTACAAGGGATGTGAAGGACCTCTTCAAGGAGAACTACAACCAATGCTCAAGGGAATAAGAGAGGACACAAGCAAATGGAAAAACCTTCCATGCTCATGGATAGAAAGAATCAGTATTGTGAAAATGGCCATATTGCCCAAACTAATTTATAGATTCAATGCTATCCCCATCAAGCTACAATTGACTTTTTTCACAGAGTTAAAAAAAACTACTTTAAATTTCGTATGGAACCAAAAAAGAGCCCGCATAGCCAAGACAATCCTAAGCAAAAAGAACAAAGCTGGAGGCATCATGCTACCTGACTTCAAACTATACTACAAGGCTACAGTAACCAAAACAGCGTGGTACTGGTACCAAAACAGAGATATAGACCAATGGAACAGAACAGAGGCCTCAGAAATAGCACCACACATCTACAACCATCTGATCTTTGACAAACTTGACAAAAACAAGCAACGGAGATTCCCTATTTAATAAATGCTGTGGAGAAAACTGGCTAGCCATATGCAGAAAGCTGAAACTGGACTCCTTTCTTACACTTTATATACAAATTAATTCAAGATGGATCAAAGACTCAAACATAAGACCTAAAACCATAAAAACCCTAGAAGAAAACCTAGGCAATACCATTCAGGACATAGGCATGGACAAAGACTTCATGACTAAAACACCAAAAACAATTGCAACAAAGCCAAAATTGGCAAATGGGATCTAATTAAACAAAAGAGCTTCTGCATAGCAAAAGAAACTATCATCAGAGGGAACAGGCAACCTACAGAATGTGAAAAAATTTTTGCAATCTATCCATCTGATAAAGGGCTAATATCCAGAATCAACAAGGAATTTAAACAAATTTAAAGAATAAACCAACCTCATCAAAAGCGGGCAAGGATATGAACAGACACTTCTCAAAAGAAGACATTTATGTGGCTAAGAAACATATGAAAATAAAGCTTATCATCGCTGATCATTAGAGAAATGCAAATCAGTATCACAATGAGATACCATCTCACAGCAGTTAAAATGGCGATCATTAAAAAGACAGGAAGCAACAGTTGCTGGAGAGGATGTGGAGAAATAAGAAAGCTTTTATACTGTTGGTGGGAGTCTCACACTAGTTAAAATGGTGATCATTAAAAACACAGGAAGCAACAGATGCTGGAGAAGATGTGCAGAAATAGGAATGGTTTTACACCGTTGCTGGTAGTGCAAATTAGTTCAAGCATTATGGAAGACAGTGTGGTGATTCCTCAAGGATCTAGAACTAGAAATACCATTTGATCCAGCAATCCCATTACTGGGTATATACCCAAAGGATTATAAATCATTCTACTATAAAGACACATGCACACATGTTTATTGCAGCACTATTTACAATAGCAAAAGCTTGGACCCAACCCAAGTGTCCATCAATGATAAACTGGATAAAGAAAATGTGGCACTCATGCACCATGGAATACTACACAGCCATAAAAAGAATGAGTTCATGTCCTTTGCAGGGACATAAATGAAGCTGAAAACCATCATTCTCAGCAAACTAACACAGGGACTGAAAACCAAACACTGCATGTTTTCACTCGTAAGTGGGAGTTGAACAATGAGAGCATATGGGCACAGGAAGGGGAACATTACACACCGGGGTGTGTTGGGGGTGGGTGGCAAGGGGAGGGATATCATTAGGAAAAATACCTAATGTAGATGACGGATTGATGGGTGCAGCAAACCGCCGTTGAACATGTATAACTATGTAACAAACCTGCACATTCTGTACATGTATCCCAGAACTTAAAGTTTAATAAAGAATAAAAATAAAAATAAAAAAACTAAGCTCCCTATGGAAAGAAAAAATCCCTTTGGGTACTATAAGAAGTATACCAGAGGACAGAGTGTAAGTGGGTAATTGAATTAGTAGCTATCACAATAATCTAGGTAAAAAATACAAACTTTGGTCAACAGTGAGAATAGTGAAGATGCAAAGAAGTGAACACTTTGGGCAGATTATTCTGAGTTTCAGTCCAAAAGCTATTTGAAGAATTAAGTGTGGAAGTTAAGGAAGACTCAGGATGACTCCCAGGCTTTCAGAGTGAGCAACTGAGTGGGGAGTGGTTCAATTGCTATTTACAAACTTTGGAAAGATTGAGGTAAATGTGTAACTTGCAGAGGTTGAGGTCAAACAAAAATTCTATTTGGACACATTAAGTTCAGGATGCAGATTGCATAAACAAATGAAAATATAAACAAGTTGTTGTATATGTGGTTCTGTGGTTCAAGGGAGGATTGGGAACTAAATATATAAATTTGCACATTATTATTATATTGATGGCATTTAAAGCCACAACGCTGTATGATGTGTTCTAGGGAGAGTATATAAATAAAGAAGTGAGGCTAGATTTAAAATCAGGGTAACACTTAACTTTTAAGGATCCATCAGAATGGGAGGGAATAGCAAAAAAATAAAAAGTCTAAGAAATAAAAAACCAAGAGATTTGAACGTAATTCAAATTTTATAGAATAAAATCAAAATAGAATATATACAATAAATAAAAGCTTCATTTAGTAATGGAAATACTATGATAAGCATAAACATACAAATAATGATAGGTGAAAATTATTTTCACTATGTAAATATGATAAGCATAAACATACTAATAATGATAGGTGAAAATTATTTTCACTGTGTTTATATTCCCATATAATATTTGTCAAGCATTGCTCTAGTTTCTTATAAATTTTAGCTTATTTAAACTTCATAGCAACCCTTTTAGGATTCTGGCAATATGACAGATTTACCCAGATTTAGTTCCAAAATTTGCCCATGTGGTTAAGTATCAGTCTCCTGATTGAAACACAGCAAAATGCCACCATTAATAATGTTTCCCTAAATTCATTTGGCAACATAAAAGTGTGCATATGGTTTAAGCTAAATTAAGAGAAAAACTAGATTTAAAATTCCATGCATTGTATACCTTGTGAATATTTAAACACACATAAATATAAAACTAAAACATAATGTGCAACATTCATCATAGTTTAGAATTTATAAAATGAATAGAATCTATAAAAATTATCCAATTTCTCAATGCTATTTAATGTCTTTCCTTTTATAATTTAAATTCTTGTTAAATTCATAAAAGTCCTATCATAAGTTCATAATTAACACATAACTATTTTGTTTTGGAAATAGAATAAAGGAGAGTATAATTGGTTCAGCAGTCTACTACTTCACTGACTAAATGGCTGATTCCATTGATCTGATTATTAAATCACATTTCCTCCTTTACCAATCTACATGTATACCACCTGCAATTTAAGGTTGAGTCACAAAAGAATGATGAAGAGTAGTATGGTGTTTTAAAATATTGTATTAAGATAGTGGCAGCTCCCAACTAAAGATGTTGCGAGTTTAATCATACCAGCTGAACCTCTCTAAATGTTCCAAATATATCAAAACAGAGTATTTATAAAGAGTCAAAAAAGATTCTATACAGATAGCCAAACTGAAAAATCTAATGAAAAGTATTTCTTATTTAAGTTAAGCATCTGTATATTTACTTATCCTGGAGTTATTTTTTCTGAAATATTTTATTTTATTTATTTATTTTTTTTATTTTTATTTTTTTGAGACGGAGTCTCGCTGTCTCCCAGGCTGGAGTGCAGTGGCGCGATCTCGGCTCACTGCAACCTCGGCCTCCCGGATTCATGCCATTCTCCTACATCAGCCTCACAAGTAGCTGGGACTACAGGTGCCCACCACCACGCTCGGCTAATTTTTTTGTATTTTTAGTAGAGATGGGGTTTCACCATGTTAGCCAGGATGGTCTCGATCTCCTGACCTCGTGATCTGCCCGCCTCAGCCTCCCTAAGTGTTGGGATTACAGGCGTGAACCACCGCGCCCGGCCTGAAATATTTTAATAAGCTTCTTAAAATTATCTTGGAGGGATGGATAATAGCAATCAAGGGCATATGGAAAACAATTTTTATTACCATAGGGCAAGGTTAAGTTAAATAAAATAATCCTAGGCTTTTTTTTCTCTAAATTTATAAATGCCATTTGCTGCTCATGTCAGTAACTTTAGTTTTCTTCACTTTTATTTTTCTTTGATGTAAACAACTTTTTTTACATTGCCCAGTAAAACATTTATCTCTACAATGAGCTCAATACTTTCTAGCTGAAAAGATATTGAATGTGGCATTCTTGCTCAATTCAATTAACTGCAATACAATGTATATTTGAAGAGCAACATTGAGATAGAACAACAACAAATAAAAACAAAAGTAATTTTAGCTTCCAGAAAAAAACACACTGAAGTAATCTCATTTACACCAACTACCAGATGCTCATAAATATACAATTCAAAAATTATGTCAAAATATATTCAGAGACATATTATGACAATATTAGGAAAGAGCACAGATAGGGCAACATCTTAAAAGCTATCGGGGACAGGTCAGACACTACATAAAAATAAAAATCAAGGATATAAAATAGAAATGCTCTATCAACAATGTGATACAATGTAGCCCTTCTGATATCTAGTAAAGGCTGCTCTCAATCACAGGGTGTTTGGATGATCCTGTAGACATATTTTCTATTTCATAATGAAACACTATCAGAATCTTCAGAGTGGGTAAAGCTCTGGTAATACATTTGTCATAACATGATAAATCCAAGCAGAGTGAATCAAGATATAAATATAAAACTTTGAAGTTTTCATCCACTTTGGCTCGTAGGGAGACTTGACTGGACTGGCAATGTCAATATAATAAACTACAGTAAAGGGCATAGAGGGTTTTCTTAGAAAAAATATTGTAGAAAAAGCAAGGTCATTCTCTTGCCACATAAGAATTCTAAGCTTCAAACTTAGAAATAAAACAGACGGTATATAGTAAATTGGAACATTTAACTATCTTGATTGGGGGAGCATTAAATAAATTATCTGTTTAAGCATAAACAGCTTCATCAACAACATGTCTAAAAGTTTCTCTCGAATTGAGTTGGGTTCAAATTGAAGATTAGGGACAAAATTACAGGATTACTAGTTTTATTACCTTTGTTTCACAAAGGTACTTTCACACTTACTTTCTATGCGTAATTAAAATGACTTTCCCTAAACGGTAAGACATGCCATATAATTTCAACAAGTGGTATGAAGACGGAATATTCATTATTTGTTAAGAAATTGTATTGTAATTTAAGGAAACCTAAAAATGTGCATTAATCTAAACTACGAATATATTTTTCACACTTGTGAATGTTTTACAGAATTTTCTTTTTTTTCAACTTTGTTTTACATTCAGGCAATATACATGAAGATTTCTTACATGGGTAAGTTACATATCACTGAGGTCTGGTGTATAAAATAAAATTTTCTACCAAAAACACACATGCGCTCATATCTTCTAGAATTTTCAATGTGAATATGCCTGCTATCTATGCCTCAACAAATATGTGTTAAATTAACGAAATTAACATACAAGTATTCTAAAAAGAGGAAATAAATTAAACATTCCCATTTTCCTATTTCTTCATGTGTTCAACCAACAACTGGGCAAATGTCTCTCATGATCATTTATGAAACGTGTCCTCTCATGTGCAGGAGGTGAAACTAAGTGCCCTAAGATCACTGTGTATGTAGAATTTGGAGCTATTACAGAGTTTCTAGGCCCAACATATGTTATTAAATTATGTAGATCTGCAAACATAATATTGTTTTTGTCTGCAGTATCATCAACCAGTATATAACAAATACTTTTTTATTTATTTATAGGGATAATCCTCCCAATGATATACAATGCAAATTGCAAAACCCTAAGTGTATCATTTGACACATTTCCATAGTAGCTCTGCTCAATGTCTTGAGAATAAAATACACGTGTAACAAGAAGGAAATCTCGGGAGATCAGGATGGTATCTGCTGGATTTTGATCTATTTTTATGATAAAGCCAGAAGGATTGCTGATGGATTCAGTAGAGTATGAATAAAAGATGGAAAATAAAGCAAGTAGAAATGTGAAAGCTACTATTAAATGAAATCATGTGAAACTATGTGTGAATTGGGTTTCTGGGATAAGATAAGACATGAGTTCAGTTTTGAAGGCCAAGTTTAAATATCTAATAGGAGATTGTGCTTATTAGTCTAAACTTGAGGTCACAGAACTGAACCACATATGTGTAAATTTGAAAGTCAATTATATATAAAGAGATTGTAAAGTCTAAAAGATTGACTGAATGTGTTAAAATCAGTAAAATGGTAAACATGGAAAAAGTGAAACACAGAAGACTAAGGCCTGTATCCCGAAACACTCTAGCATTAAGAGTTCTGAGAAAAGAGAAACCAGCTGTTAAGAATGATAAGGGGCCGGGCGTGTTTGCTCACACCTGTAATCCTAGCACTTTGGGAGGCCAAGGGAGGTGGATACCCTGAAGTCAGGAGATCAAGACCAGCCTGGCCAACATGGTGAAACCCTGTCTCTACTAAAAATAAAAAAATTAACCAGGCATGGTGGCAGGCGCCTGTAATCCCAGCTATTCGAGAGGCTAAGACAGGAGAATCGCTTGAACCCGGGAGGCGGAGGTTGCAGTGAGCCGCGATCACACCACTGCACTCCAGCCTGAGTGACAGATACGGGACTCCATCTCAACAACAACAACAACAAAAAAGATAAGGATACACCAGAAAGATAGTAGTGTTAAGGAAGCCAGGTGAGGGAAGTGTGTTAAGAAGAGGAGACCAATTAACTGCATCAAATACTGTTGCTGGGTCAAATAAGGGTAGACTTGAAAATTGGTTACTAGATTTCACAACATGGATATCAAAGCCAGACTGAAATGAATTAAAGAATATATGGACAGAAACTGTAGACAGCAAATTAGACAACTTCTTTAACGAATTTTGTTACAAAAGTTTCAATAACATATGACAGTAGTCAGCAGAGGAAATGAGATTAAGATTTTTTTTTTAATTAGACAGAAGTGAAGACAGTATGTTTATATGCCGATGGGAATAATCCAAAAAAGAGAGGGTAATGGAGTAAGATAGAGAGGTTGGACTGCAGAGTGGACATCATAAATATTCTCAACTTCTCTCTTTTTTTGCCTTCTGAACTCTTGCTGGTACAGTCAGTAGCTGCACCCACCTTTCCTAATAGGGAAGCATGAATGATTCATTGAGTAGATTTGGGCCCCCTACACACAGAAAAGAAGAGTGAGCATATCCCAATATTAAAATTCAAATAAATATTGATTATGTCTATTTTTTCAATTTCACTGATACTTCAACACTTATACTAAGATTTCTTTTACATGCATTCATACTGATACTTTTCAAGTACAGCATTATTTATTGCATGTTACCTTTATTTCTTAGATATAGGAGAAAGAATTATACAGACAAGAGCCCATTTTTTCCTGTTATATGAATGTACTTAAATCATATCTACCTTTACTTTCTGTTCAAGATAACATCAATTCTCAAAATCACTTAAAACCTTTTGTCTGTGATGATTTTTCTAAATATTTACAGAAGGTGCCAAGAGAAAGTTGTTTTCTTATTCTACAAAATGCTCACAACAAATGCAATAAATGCATAAACTAAAAACTGTAGTATAAAGAATTAGAAGGCATTACTCTGGATCAGCTGTCTCATCTGAAATGTTTTCTCAGGTCATAGGATTCCCTAAATATGGCTTCCATTAACTTTTAAATTTTAGTTAAGAAATAGGCAAATTTATTGGTTTTTAATTTTCTGGTTAGGGTGTGTGTGTGTGTGTGTGTGTGTGTGTGTGTGTATGTGTGTGTGTAGAACATGCAGCAAACATAAACTAGTTTTTTTTTTTTGCTAAGAAAATAAAGATAAGACATTGGCTTTAGATATTATTTAAAAATGTGTGTCTGTAATCCTACAGAACAATTCTACATGAGACAATACAATTGAAAAAAATAAACTATGTTGCATGTTTATATGTGAAACTTGTTAAAGCTTTTTCTTTACATGAGAAATTTCATTTGGGTGAAATTTTCAAATCATTCAGATTTATAGTTAATTGTATGAAATAAAAATATAAACTATATTTCAAACATCCATAAGTTTCCTGAAACAAATAAATTTATTTATTTTTCTTTTTAATGGGCTTTTCTTTCTTTTTTTTTCTTTTTGAGATGGAGTCTTGCTCTGTCACCCAGGCTGGAGTGCAATGGTGCGATCTCGGCTCATGCAACCTCCGACTCCTGAGTTCAAAAGGTTCTCCTGCCTCAGCCTCCCAAGTAGCTGGGATTACAGGTGCCCACCACCACGCCCAGCTAATTTTTATGTATTTTTAGTAGAGACAGGGTTTCACTATGTTGCCAGGCTGGTCTCAAACTCCTGACCTCGAGATACGCCTGCCTCAGCCTCCCAAAGTGCTGGGATTACAGGTGTGAGCCACCACACTCAGCCCTAATGGGCTTATTTTTTAAAACTGATTACATTTATACAAATATTGAGGAGATAGTATATAGAGTTCTTATATACCCTGCACCAAGTTTCCCCCAGTATTAACATTTTTATTGGTTATAACTAATGAGGCAAAGAGGCAATGACACATTATTAACTGAAGTCCATATTTTATTCGGATTTCCTTAGTTTTTGCCTCATATCATTTTGTTTTTTATGTTAAAAAATTCCATCCAGGATACCACATGACCTTTAGCTCTCATAACTCCTTAGGCTCCCATTCACTCTGACAACTGGAATTAATTGTTAAATACTGAAAAACTAACAAAAACAAAAACATAATCAAGTTTCTTTTCTCCATCCAGTATTCTTTGAAGACAATCACATTTTATAATTTTGTAAATTTCATTTAACAAGTAAAATGATTAGCATTCCCTGGAAGCCTTTATTTGTGATGAATATACAATACCTAGGTAGACTCCATATGTTTCATTTGTTGAATTATTATGTTTGTTGTCAATATAATATCAAAAATATATAGTAAGACTGGGAATTACAATTATATCTAATTTTTCTAAATAAGCCATTTAGAAGTACAAAATCTTTACAGAAAAATACTATATATCAAATACAAGGTAAAAATTTAATAGTAGTAGTAGTAGTAGTATATATAAATTGTGGTCCAACAGCTTAATAGTTCATTAAAACCTCATTATTAAATAGATTATTTGTGAATTAAAAAAAATCTGGCTTTATAACTTTCCCTCTTCCTTTCCTAATAACAACATATTTTAGAATCTGCTATGTGAACAAGACTATGTTAAGTTTCATAGACATCACTTCACTTATTCTTCATGCTTAAGGAATCTAAATGTGTACCCATTTTCTAAGAATCAGAAAGAATAAGTTGATTAAAACAGAAGATTTAAATGGCACTGGCTAATTCAAATTGACTTGATAGATTTTTTTATAGTATTTTATTCTTGAATGTAGAAGTCTGTATGAATACTCACATAATTGGAATATATAGGTAAAAGTTAATAAATAATCATGGCTAAAGAGTTGCATATATATCATATTACACATATTAATGCATAGTCATATGTAGAAAAACTACACACAAATCCATATAATCCACACGTTATCTACTAAGAGCTCACAATATACACTGATTTAGAAAGTTCCCCAAAGAAGAAAATGAAATAACTTATGTAATGACACATTAGAATACTTGCTTTAGAAATATTAAGAAGAGTAAAATTATTGTGGTTTGGGTAGATTGTACGGAGTGCACAGACCCAAAGTGGAAACTGAGGAAAACTTGGACGTTGTATAAATAGATACTGACATAGATGTTAGAATATATGTATTACAATTATGTATGGTTTGCGTATAATAAATTGCTGAGGTTCCCAGAAAGAAAAAAAACACCCTCATAGAAAATACTTGAGCTGACTGCATTATGATTCTGCCAGATCTATACATCAATCTTAAAACAGGATTACCCCCAGAACAGTAATGCAAACTATTCTCCTATTAACAGCATTTCACACATTTTCTAACTGAATCAAATTTAATGGATTTTCCAATACTGAGGCTAAAATATTTATGAAAGGATTCTAATCTCTTTTTAGCAAGTCTGTAGTCACAATCAATCACTATATAGATTCATATAATCCCTACTTCAGTGTACATATTGCAATATGTTTGTTGCAGTAATCTTTTTTAAGGATTATCCTGCCAAATAAGGTAGTTGCAGTTTTCAGAATCTAAAAGTTGAGGAATATGCGTCAAATGAAGTTTATTGACCTTAATATCTACATTTTTTTTTAATCTACTATGCTGGAGAAGGAAATCTTTGTTTAAGCTCCTTTGATTGGATATAAAACTTTTCTATACATTTTCACACTTTGTATTTATTACTCGGGACATACCTAATAAGACAATAAATATAAGCCTCAAGAAAACAAAACTGTATTCAGTTCTCAAGAGAGTATTCAACTCTGAAATATTACAGTACTCATTTATTCTATCTTACCTAAGTATGTGGAAATGACAAGGTTAGCGGCTATCAATTTACTGTTACAGTGTGTGCATTTTTATTATAGATTTAAGAATGTTGTACATATACACATACATGATTTTTAAGAGTTTTCTATGTTAAAGTTTTCTATAATCTCGAGCTACTCAAGAAAGAGATGGTATGTCTTCTTTTTAAATAATTGTATAAAATTTTATTCACCTAGAAGGTTGAAAATGAAGACATCATAGATTAATTGGACTGTATTATATATAATTGGGAAGATTATTCTTGGTAAACACTTTTGAAAATATTTTAATATGTTATATTTTTAAATTATGGTACTAAATGCATTTGTAAGCTGTTATTTATATAATATTGTAATCCAACTAATAATACTATTGATTATTCTCTGTCGGCCAGACCCTTCACATGCATCATTTCTATTCCTAAAATCACATGGCACAGCAGGTATTAGTTCCCTCAGTTTTTAGGCCTACGTAGGCAACATTTCTCCTTTGTTCACAAGTTTTTCCCCCCACCATTGGTTTCTACTAAGAACAATGACTAACCTAGAATATTAAAGGTTATTTGTTTTTTCATAATCAAAAAGATATAAACCTTAACTTTCTGGAAGAGATTTTTCTGTATCAGCATTTGCTTCCATTTTTGTGATATATAAATCCACATAATCAAGGTATATATCATTTCTTGCATATGTTACGGAAAAAATATAAAGAAAGCAGGCACTCTTTTAGAAAATATGATGTGTGTGTGTGTGTGTGTGTGTGTGTGTGTGTGTATTATTTTAGGAGATATCATGTGCATGCAAACAGGTATACCTGTAAGTATTTTGCTTTACTACTAATCATTTTTTTAAAAATGTGGGGCCTAATTGAATTAGCAAAATACATATTTAAAATATTTGAGAAGCAACATTCAGAAGTCTAGATACTTTTACTTAGCTGTAGCTTCATCATGTTATGAATTATCTATGTTTTATCAGGATTGTATTACATTGTTTTTGTATTATGTTATTATAGGTGGTAGTACCGTTTTAGAGTCAAAGGTGACATTTCATTGCTTGTTGGACTTACAACATAAGGACTAGACATTAAAATCAACGTGAGAAAATTGAGAAAAGATCTAATCAGGATTTCCTAGTTGTTTTAAAAGATGTAACTAAATCTTCAATTAGGGTTATAAATGTTTATTTTTTTAATTTAAGGAATACATATTTCCTTCAAATTACCTTGCTTAAGAAGATAATGAAACACTTTGTGAATTGTGAAAATAACCAAAGCAGAAAAATTTAATTAATCCAGTATTACCACTTTGTGTGACAGGATAATAAATAAGTGGCCTTTAGATCTATATAACATTTATTAGGAAATTCATGATAATAAACATTCATGAAAACCAGACTTTCCAAATGTGAAAAAGGAAAGCCTAATTATTTATGGCTATTTTCATAAAATCATCTCCTGTGGTACAATGAATACTACATTTGAAGTTAAGATGATTAGCTGTGTGATGATTACCAGGTTATTTAAACTGTTTTATTTTCCTCATCTGTTAAATATACACAATATATAATCATAGAGCAGATGTGACTGTTAAATAAAAGAATATACCATCGGTTTAACTCTGTATAGTAAATTGTTATATGAATGTTACTGTTAAACGTCATTTGTAGATAACAATTAATATTTGGATTGTAGGTGAAATTATCAGCATCCAGGTCATTCAAATGCAGAAGCAGAGGAATAATGAAGTGAAAGAGGGAAGGAAGGGAGAAAAGGAGGTTGGCCAGCAGGCTGGTAAGGAGGAATTTAAAAAAGAAAATTGGGTTGGGTTAGAAAGAAATAGTGCAAAATGATAGTAAGTGCAAGTTAAATCTGTATTTTGCTTTCCAAGCAAACTTCGTTGGAGCAGAATATTATTTTATAATAGAAACAATTAACGTTATTTGCAGCTAACTTTAAAGGAATTTCTACAATTTTTAACGTTATTTTAAAAAGCTTTAAAAATTTACCCAGTAGGCAAATGTATCATCTACAGCTAAAACACAGGCTTGTAAAAGTAATTATTACTATAAATACCAAAATTTATGTTTTTGTCATCCTTTCTTTCCCAAAGAAAAATCAAAAGATTTGGAAATATTAATTTAAAATACTAGTTCAATTAAAAAATTTTAGTGTTATAATTCAGTATTATCTCAGTTTTCGTAAAATTAGACCTATAATAAATTGAAATTTTCTCAATGTAAAATTTTCTCAATGTAAAATGCAATAAAAATTTTTCTTATTTTTTATTGCAGTGTATTAGAAAACTATTCACAAATTGTTCAGGCACAAGTATTGAAATACTTCTTAAGGTCTTTTTTTCTGTCATTCTGCTTACTCAGTGCACCTTTAAATGCTATTATCTCCATCTTCAGAATATATCTTACATCTAAACACTACTCACATTCTCCATCTTTCCTTACTTCTCTAGTGCAAGATTTTTTTTTTTTTTTTCAGAGAAATACGGGACCTCCCAGATCATGTGCTTGACTCCACACTATAAACGTTTATTTAGAGTATGTCATTTTTTGTATAAACAATATAAAACACATGTATAAATTATGGCACAAAACAATGATGTGAGCACCCCTTATCCTAATACTCATGCTAATACCTCTGCATTTATTTTGGTGCTCCAATCTTATCTCAAATAAGCCTTGCTTCTTGAAATAATTTCTATCCTAAAATTTGTTTCTAATGTGCACTTACATTCATATCATCATATCAAATGTACATATGTCCTCAGGTTTTTTAAAATATTAACTTGTATTAATTTTATTCTCGATGTACACATGAGGTGCTCTGGATCAGAGCAAATAGCAAATAATAAGTGCTAAGGTCCCCTTAGTCCTTATCACTAGGGCAATGCAATGAAAACCACATGAAAAAATATTCTATATGAGTGACAGAAAAAATCCATAAGTGAAGAAAGAAAAATTGATGACCTCTGCTCATACATAGGCAAAAGAGGTATAAGTCTCTCCTCCTCCTCCTAAAAACAGGAAAAGAAAACCTTTACTTCTTAGAAAGGACATGGAAAGTTTCCTAGATTATATAACATTTTTAAATTAAATCCACCTCTTTAAGAATTAGATAAGTGCTGGAGTCACTGGCTTTTACAAATTAGAGATGTTTCCAAAGTCCCAACCCTCATCTTACCCCAAAGTATATCAACATACCTCTAGAGCTAGGTAAATTTCTCTGCAGTTCTCTCACTATCTACACAGCTGCAAATTAACTCTCCAAGGCTTGCTGTCAGCCAAAGGTTCCAAGTATTCAGCAAGTGATATTCAGAAAGCCCCACCTCTGAGGAAATACAAAAATATATTTTCCTCAACCCACACTTTAGTTAATAGATTTAGTTTTTCTCTTATTTATTTATTTATTTATTTTGGAAAAGCACATTCATAAAACCATCCAAACATATAAAAATACTATACGGTGGAAAGACTTTCTCCGTCCTTGTTTTGCCTCTCTTTTTCCTGAGTTCTATCTTAATAATCCATGAATAAATAATCCATAAATGAATAATTTCTTGTTTCTTTCCAGAATTTCTTAAATACTATATTCTGGCTACCAATGCTGCATAACAAATTATGCCCAGATTAGTGGCTCAACACAGCCACTAATGTGATACATATACACAATGGAGTACTGTGCAGCCACAGATAAGAATGAGATCTTATCATTTGCAACAGCATGGATGGCACTGGAGGCCATTTTGTTAAGTGAAATAAATCAGACATAGAAAGAAAAACTTCACATGTTCTCACTTATTTGTGGGTGCTAAAAATCAAAACAATCAACCTCAAGGAGACAGAGAGTAGAAAGATGGTTACCAGAGGCTAGGAAGGATAGTGAGGAGTTGAGGAGGACGTGAGGGTGGTTAATGGGTATAAAAACATTTCAGCTAAAGGTCAGGAATGAGTTCTGGTGTTCTGCACAAGTGTAGGGTGAAATATGGTTAACTACAATTTATCATAAATTTTCAAAATCTAGAAAGGAGAATTCTGAATGTTCACAACAGAAAGAAATAATAAATGTTTGAGGGGATGAAGATGCTAATTACCTGGATTTGGTCATTATATATTGTATATATGTATCAAAATATCACACTGTATCCCTCAAATATGTAAAATTATTACATATCAACTAAAAGTAAACAGCAAAAAACAAATTGAAAATGGGGCAATAGAGGCTTTATTGATAGTTTTTAAATTCAATTTTGTTCTCATCTTGTTTTTATAATTAGGAATTATAATCTGGTGAAAATAATTATTAAATATATTTTTGTACTTTACTTTTGGAGATCATTCTTAATGGAATATGATTTTTTTTGTGACCAATTTCAGCTCTTCAAAAATTTAGTGACATCTTTTTCAAAAATGAGCTAGAAAGCTGAAAATGTGAAGAGATATCATAAACTCAGAATTCTGCAGAGGCAAACTTTCAAATTTTACTTTTTTATGACTAAATCATCTTTCTCTTATATTATTTGTTTTAAATCTATTCAAACATTAGTACATTGCATTTTTTTCTGAAAGAAAAACTACCATGCACATATCATTTTCTCATAAATTACCAATTCTGTTAATAACTTTTTAAGTTCATGACCTTTAACTATCAGTTCTGCCAAAGGAGGATGATAACATAGCACACAAAGATATCTGGCATGTAATGAAAATGGTCTGATTTAATTAAAATGTAAGTTATTGTTAGAAAGAAGGGTCACACTAAGAAAATGTCATTTCAGAAGTATATTAGCAAGCACACACCAGTGTTTGTTGCATGTAAAATATACGGATAGTACTTAACATTTAGAGAGGAAATTAGAACTATGCATAATATATACTTGAACATTTTTGTGTTCTCATGTTGCATTTGTTTATCTTATTCACATTACTTTTTAATTAGATAAATGTTAAATATAACACTGCTTACATTTTTTTCTTAGATACCAAATGCTTTACGCCAAATAAATTCATTTGCAAATTTTAAAAGAACAAATGTAATTTTAAAATTATTTGACAAAACCTTTGAAAAACATGCTATGCTTTATATTAATTAAATTGTTAAAATTATCTAATATGTGATTTTATTGAAGAAATTTAAGATACGCATTTCATAATTTAATGTGTCAAAGGCATACAAAAGTGATTCTTTGCATCTTGTTAATACTTTTATTTAAAAGATTAACATATTGTAAGCTATAGTATGTTTTATGATGACACTAGTGAAGTGGTATGAGATTTGGGTTTTAGGCATATTACCTAGAAGAAACCAATAGTTGTATGTCCTGGAGTCTGTAAGTATGTAGAGACATATACACCTCCTACCATGATACCAATTAATAATCTTGGTAATACAAAAAATGAAAATTCTGTTCTCTTAAAATTACTCAGTTTCACAGGAAAGAGGTATCTTTTGTTTTGTAATTCATATTACCATGTGCTTCACTAAATATTGCACACTGAGACCTGGACTTAATTGGTATTGGGGCTTATTACAGATAATGAGAATTTTAACTTGGTTCTTCAGTTCTTCCTACATGCTAAGATTGGGGGGAGAAAAGGGGAAAATATTGCCTTAAAAATATCAATCTCTCATTTTTGTATATTCCAGCCATCATTGTGAGGAATCAGAAATTTACTTTCCTCAGACTCTATACTCTGTTCCTTCAATGGATGAATTTTACTATGTTTGGCCTTGGTATTATGCAATCTTTTTTTTTTTTTTTTGAGACGGAGTCTTGCTCTGTCGCCCAGGCTGGAGTGCAGTGGCGTGATCTCGGTTCACTGCAAGCTCTGCCTCTCGGGTTCACACCATTCTCCTGCCTAAGCCTCCCGAGTATTTGGGACTACAGGTGCCCGCCACTACGCCCAGCTAAGTTTTTTGTATTTTTTAGTGGAGACGGGGTTTCACCGTGTTAGCCAGGATGGTCTCGATTTCCTGACCTCGTGATCTGCCCACCTCGGCCTCCCAAGGTGCTGGGATTAGAAGCGTGAGCCACCAAGCCCGGCCGCTATTATGCAATCTTGAATGCTAAAGTAAAAAACATGAAATTGAATCTGTATATATTTACATATTTTTAAGGAATGACATTTAAAATATTGTGCATTTTAGCACTCAATATCCCTTTTTACTAAAGGCACATTGAAGAATCTGTCTCAATGCAAGAAAATACGTTTTTTAAAACTTCAAAGTCATATTTTCTTTTGTGGATCTTATTTGTATTTCTTTTTGTGATGACAAGTATGGTTGTCAAATATTATAGGCAATCACATGTTATCATACAATTTTTATAGAATAACATTATATTGTAATATTTTTAATGGCTTCTTACTGATAGTTCATAACTAGAAAATAAAAACTGTTGGGTGTGGCATAAAGATTCTATCAGATGTGTTGGTAATGCTTTTTCAATACACAGAAGCATAGCATGGGGTCATCTGTTTATAGACATATACTTTTGAAAGAACATTATTGCTTTTTTTTTTAAGACAAGCTATCTTTTTTGAGCCAGAGTATAATAGTTCTACAAGTGTCTAGATAATGTAAGAGAAGATGTGAGCTTATGCAGCTGACTCTGCTAAGTGGAATTAAGACATATGAAAACTAAGAAAACAGGGAGTAGTCAGGACTACTATTCATGAGGTGGATATGATATTATCTTAATTCCTTCATTTACAAATAGTTCAAAAATGACAGATTCTAACTCATAAGGTAATTATACACCTCTGGAGTTACGTCAGATGAAAATACAATGT
Source organism: Homo sapiens (assembly GCF_000001405.40). Lineage (NCBI taxonomy): Eukaryota > Metazoa > Chordata > Mammalia > Primates > Hominidae > Homo > Homo sapiens. The sequence continues at coordinate 115,689,506 of NC_000004.12, read as the reverse complement.
GAGTTGTTTTAAAATATTTCATTAGAAGCATTACTGCTCAATATTTTTATTAAAAGAGTAGAATATACTCATACATTAAACAGATATTGATTGCCTATCACTAGGCATTATCCTAGGCAAAATAACTCAATACTCAGAAAAAAAGGGCTCTGACCTCAGGGTTTATGTTATAATTAGAAGAGTCAGACAATAAATAATCAAATGTGAATGTAAAAGAAAAATAGGTAATTAATAATATTGCATAGAGAATTTACAGAGTGCTATGATGTATTGGGGAATTTTACCTTTCTTTAGGGTGGACAGAAGATAGGTTAAAAAAGAGCTAACATTTAGGTGGAACAATGAGTATTAGGAAGAAATGAGTCATAAGGAAACCAGATGAAAGTGTTTCAGGCAAAATGAAAAACTGGGGTACAGTTTTAGAAATCCAAAACCCATAACAATATTGATGTTTTAGAGAGATTGAGAGCAAAACTAGTGACCTGAAAAGAAGTGTCAAGAACAACAGATTTTTTATATATGCCAGAGAGGTTAATTGATGCTAAGTTATGTAAGAATGTGGCCATTATTTCACATAAAATGGGAAGTCATTGGAAAGCTAATGCTAAGTTAGTGATGTTTGTTAGAGGGGGTAAGAAAAGAAAAAATACTCAGAGAAATTTATATATTTTAATTTCGTTGAGTAAGTGGTGCATCATTTAAGTGCAAAGTGGGGGAATGGGGATGCCATTGTGAACTCAGCCCAGAAGTCAGCTTTGGTCATGCTAAACATGAAATGCATGTTAGATATCTAACTGGATTTATCAATTAAACACTTAGTGAATCTTGGATTATAGTCCTCAGAAATGAAGGTCAGAGCTGGAGACAGCAAATGGACAGTCATGGCCTTATTATGGCATTGAAAGCCATTGAAATGGACAAAAAATCACTTTGGAGACATGAAAGAGGAAAAGAGAGAGAATGAGACAGAGAAGCATATTGAGATCTAAGCCCTATGCCATTTCAAATTTTAGAACTTGAGCAGTTAGGAAGAAAAAAGTACTCAAAAATTGAGCAGCATATGAGATGGGAGTGTATTAGAAATTAGATCCACAAGAGTCAAGAGAATATAGTGTTCCAGTAAGAAAAGTGCTACTGTTTTTACAGAGTGACTCTAACCAAATAATAGATAAAACCAAATTACCCCCCAAAATGGACTTGTACCAATATGTGAAAATTGATTATGTTGACAGGAGAACTATCAAAGAAACTGTAAGAAGAGAACCCTATTAAGAGGAGTTGAGTATATAAGAAGTGAGGTACGTGAAGAAGTAAAAAATTACCTATAGTAAATTATTTACTGAAAATGGGAGATAATTCAAGATAAAACAATTAAAATTAAGAAGCCATACAAAAAAGGGCTGACAGTGTACAATGATAATATTTAAAAATATATCTAAGCCACAACAATTGTTGTAAAAGTTATAGAAAAACCTAATACCCAAAATAATTATTTATAATGATAATGAATAAAACAAAAGGAATAAATGTCTCTGTTTCTTTAATCTTAAATCACGCAAAACAAGAAGTACATAAAGAACAGTTATTTTTATACAGGTAAGTAGTAAATATTTTTGGAAATTTGAAAATCATAATTTTAAATAGTAAATAATACATCCCAGTTATATATGTAAACCTGAAAAGTAAAGTGCACACACAAAGTAAGACCATGAACTTCTTTCATATTGTTAAAGAAAATTAAAACACTGTAGAAATCATATATCAACATGTAGTAAAAGAATTAACAGAATGAAAACAAATTCAAAGCATAAAACAAGAGAGAAGATAAAGATATTATGGTTTTCACAACTGTATTTGCAAAGAAAACTTCAGGCCAATATCCTTAATGAACATCCATGCATAATAACCAAATCCAGCAGCAAGCACATCAAAAAGCTTATTCACCATGACCAAGCAGGTTTCATCCCTGGGATGTAAGCTTGGTTCAACATATGCAAATCAATAAATGTGAGTCATCACATAAATAGAACTAAAGACAAAAGTCACATGACTATCTCAACAGATGCAGAAAAGGCTTTCAATAAAATTTAACATCCATTAATGTTAAAAACTTTGAATAAACTAGGTATTGAAGTAACATACTTCAAAATAATAGGAGCCATATATGACAAACTCACAGTCAACCTCATACTGAATGGGTAAAAGCCAGAAGCATTCTCCTTAAAAACTGGCACAAGACAAGGATGCCTTGTCTCACCACTCCTATTCAGCATAGTATTGAAAGTTCTGGCTAGGGCAATCAGGCAAGAGAAAGAAAGAAAGCGCATCCAAATAAGAAGAGAGGAAGTCAAACTACCCCATTTTACAGATGGAAAGATTCTATACCTGGAAAACTCCACAATCTCAGCCCAAAAGCTTCTTAAGCAGCTGAACAACTTCAGCAAATTCTCAGGATACAATATCAATGTGTAAAAATCACTAGCATTCCTATACACCAAGAACAGTCAAGTCAACAGCCAAATCAGGAAAAAACTCCCATTCATAATTGCCACAAATAGAATAAAATAAAAGGGAGGCAAAATATCTCTACAGAGACCTACAAAGCACTGCTCAGAGAAATCAGAGCTAACACAATCAAAGGAAAAAATGTTCTATGCTCATGGATAGGAAGAATCAATATTGTTAAAATGGCCATGCTGCCCAAAGTAATTAATAGATTCATGTAATTCCTATTAAACTACCATTGACATTCTTCACAGAACTAGAGAAAACTATTTTAAAATTCATATGGAACCAAAAAAGAGCCCAAATAGAACAAAAAAGAGCCCAAACATCCAAGGGAATACTAAACAAAACGAACAAAGCTGGAGGCATCATGCTACCCAACTTCAAACAATACTACAAGGATACGGTAATCAAAACAGCATGGTACTGGTACAAAAACAGACACATAGACCAGTGGAACAGAATAGAGAGCCCCGAAATAAGGCCACACACCTACAGTCATCTGATCTTTGACACAGCTGACAAAAACAAGCAATGGGGAAAGGATTCCCTATTCAATAAATGGTGCTGGGATAACTGGCTAGCCATATGCTGATTGAAACTGGACCATTTCTTTACACCACATATAACAACTTACTCAAGATAGATTAAAGACTTAAATGAAAAACCAGTAACTATAAAAACTCTGTAATAGAACCCAGGCAATACCAGGCTTTGCCTAGGCACAGGCAAATATTTAATGACAAAGACACCAAAGGCAATTGAAACAAAACTCAAAATTGACAAATGTGATCTAATTACGCTAAAGGGCTTCTGCATAGCAAAAGAAACTATCAACAGACTAAACAGACAGCCTACAGAATGGAAGAAAACTTTTGGAAACTATCCATCTGACTAAGGTCTAGTATTCAGCACCTATAAGGAACTTATAGGGACTATAAATCATGCTATTATAAAGAAACATCCATGTGTGTGCTCATTGCAGCACTATTAACAAAGCAAAGTCATGGAGCCAATCTAAATGCCCATCAATGATAGGCTGAATAAAGAATGCGGTACATATATACCATGGAATACATGCAGCCATAAAAAAGAACACGAACATATCCTTTGTAGTGACGTGGATGGAGATGGAGGCCATTATCCTTAGCAAACTAACACAGGGAGAGAAAACCAAATAACCTCACGTTCTCACTCATAAGTGGGAGATAAATGGTGAGAACACATGGACACATAGAAGGAAACAACACATGTTGGGGCCTTTTGGAGGATAGAGAGTGTGAGGAAGGAGAGGATCATGAAAAATAACTAATGGGTACTAGGCATAATACCTGGGTGATGAAATAATGTGTATAACAAACTCCCATGAGACAAGTTTACCTATGTAACAAACCTGCACTTGTACCCCTTAAATTAAAATAAAATTTTAAAAAAGAAAGCAAATAAAATGATTCACACTTTATTCCAAAAGTGCATTATTTAACTATGTAACTTACAAAATTCATGTTCAAAATTTGAGCAAACAAAATTCAGGAAAGAAAAATATTAAATGCATGATATTAATATCAGATAAAATAGAACTTTAGAAAGTTTAAAAAAAATCAGTGGTTATCTTATTTTTGAAACTAGCCAAACTACAGTGAAGATATAGTGCACAAGAAATTTTGTACACTGACCTATATAGCTAAGAATATAGTTTTTGTTTTGTTTTGTTTTTTTTGAGATGGAGTTTAGCTTCTTGTCGCCCAGGCTGGAGTGCAATGGCACGATGTCAGCTTATTGAAACCTCCGCCTCCTGGGTTCAAGCGATTCTCCTACCTCAGCCTTCTGAGTAGCTGGGATTACAGGTGCCTGCCGCCGCACCTGGCTAATTTTTTTGTATTTTTAGTAGAGACAGTGTTTCATCATGTTGGTCAGGCTGGTCTTGAACTCCTGACCTCAGGTAATCCACCTGCCTTGGCCTCCCAAAGGAAACATAGGTATTTAAAATAGTTAAATGTATAAATTAAATGGCTCTGTTTTATAAAATGTCATGGAAACACAATAGTAACAACATTTATGCTATAATCTATATCAGGGGTAGGCAAACTATGACCTTCAGGACGTATCTGGTCCTCTATTTGTTTTTGTATTGTCCAAGAGTTAGGATGTTTTTGTTATTGTTTTTACATTTTAAATATTTAAAAAATCAAATAATATAAAATTCAAGTTTCTCCATTTATAGATAACTTTTGATAGTAAAACTGTCACTCTCATTTAAATATTCTCTATGGCTTCTTTCTTGCCACAGTGGCGGTGGTGAGTATTTGTGATAGAAACCATATTGCCTGCAAAGACTAAAATACTTTCTCTTTACAGAAGTTATCTGCCTCTATTTTATATCTCTGTCTTAAATATACGTATATGAAACAGCTCTCCCACAGATCATAATATATTTGGCTAAAGAATAACTCCATATTACACTTTTTACAGGAAACAAGAAGTAAGGAATACTTTATAAATGTCAAATAAAACAAAATCCTGGATTCGTGGAGGAAGATAGGCTCAGACATGCTGCTAGGAATAAAGCAATAGGATCCCTCCTCAGAAGCAAAATCTTTCATTGATTGTTCCTGGACTAGGAACTTCTGTCTCAGCAATGTGCAGTTTTAACTTCTACTCCCTTTCTGAACTAGAAATCAAGAGTTTCTGCATTCAGATAAAAAGTACATGCAAAAAAGGTACAGATTTTAATTGTACCATTTGGTCAATTTGTAAAAACATATTCACCAATGTAACCAATATGCTAATGAAGAAATAGATGTTATGCTCCTCTCTGTCAATCCTCAATCCTCATAGGCAATAACTATTCGATTCAAAATAATAGATTAGTTTTATCTTTTTTATTTTTTATCAGTGGAATCATCCTTTATGTGTTATGTGGGTATCTTGATTATTATTCAACTTAGAGCTTTTGAAATGTATACATGTTGTACATATACTAATAGTCTTTTCCTGTTTTTACTAATTCATAGTCCATTTCCTGACAATAGTATAATTGTTTATTCACTTTCCTGTTAGTAGACATTTGGAACAATTTTAGATTTAGGCTGTTATGTATAAAATATTGCTCAAGTCTTTCTATACAACAGAATAGAGGGTCCAGAACAAGACTCAAACACATACGGTCAGTTGATTTTTGACAAAAAGGAAAATATATTTCTCCACATAATGCAGAAATAAAAGTCTTCTAATAAATGCAGCTATAGCAATTGGATAATAACTTTAAAGAGAAATAATGGACTTTGATATCCCATGTCACACCATGCACTAAGTTAATTTAATATGAATAGTCAACTTAAATAGAATAGCTAAAATCATAAAGATTTCATAAGGTAACATAGAAGAATATTTGAGGGAAGTAAAGATTTCTTAGCAGAGACACTGAAAAGCATTAACCATGCACGGAGGCTCACGCCTGTAATCCCAGCACTTTGGGAGGCAGAGGCGGGCCTAACGTCAGGAGTTCAAGACCAGCCTGGCCAACATGGTGAAACACTGTCTCTACTGAAAATACAAAAATTAGCCAGGCGTGGTGGTGGGCTACTCGGGAGGCTGAAGCAGGAGAATCGCTTGAACCTAGGAGGTGGAGGCTGCAGTTAGCCAAGATTGTGCCACTGTACTCCAGCCTGGGTGATAGAGCGAGACTCCATCTAACAACAACAAAAAAAAAAACGAAAAAGAAAAAGAAATTATAAATTTGACTTAAAAATTGCAACTTCTGGCTGGGCGCGGTGGCTCATGCCCATAATCCCAGCACTTTGGGAGGCCGAGGTGCGCGGATCACGAGGTCAGGAGATCGAGACCATCCTGGCTAACAAGCTGAAACCCCGTCTCTACTAAAAATACAAAAATTACCTCAGTGTGGTGGTGGGCCCCTGTAGTCCTAGCTACTCGGGAGGCTGAGGCAGGAGAATGGCATAAACCCAGGAGGCGGAGCTTGCATTGAGCCGAGATGGTGTCAGTGCACTCCAGCCTGGGCGACAGTGCAAGACTCCGTCTCAAAAAAAAAATTAATAATAATAATAATAATTGCAACTTCTACTGAGCAAAAGACACTGAGAAAAAAAATAAAAAAGTAAACATGGAGTTGTATATATTGCAAATGATTTTATCTCATATAGAAATAATTTCTATGAAAACAAAAATGAGTTTCTGTGTATGTAATTTATAGGTATTAACAAAAGTTATTCATTTTTTCAGCCATTGCTATCATATTTTCACCTATCATTAGACCCATTATAGCATTCTTCTTACTTATTTTTAACTGAGAATTTAATACGTCTTCAAATCAAAAACTAGTGAGATAAACATCCAGTGTGCATATTTTACTAAGAAAATTATTTTAAATTGTTCTACCCCAGCTCACAATATAGCACATAGAGATGAGAAAGGATATGGAAAATATTTATTTGGGGAGGCTGTAATATAGCATGTTTGCTCAGAGATCATGCCAAACCCTTGAGGAGGTTGACAAGTAATCCCCACAGTTGTAGCAATGTGGACAGTGATCCCAGGAGCTGAGTGGTTTAGTGGCAGATGTACGAAAATGCTAATGACTTACAGAAGCTAAAGACCCTCCTGAAATCATAGAAAATTCAATATTAGAATTTCAATTTTTAAAATATATCAGTCCAACAATATTACACGATGCAAAATAGTGTTTGTCCTCCGATGCTTTAATGAATTACAAAAGTATTGGAAAACTGTGTTGGATAATTGTTTACATACCTGTAATTAGTTTGTATTAAGAAGGCACAAGGAGAATTAGTTAAAATGTACTGGCAATTTCAATAGACACAACACACACATACACACACTCACATAATTAAATAGTTCTGCAAGACAGCTTTGAACAGTATTATTCAGAATGCCAGAATGAATTTCCCTATATCTATCATTATTCCCTTCACAAACCTGGTACAATGAGCCATAACCTTCAAGGTGTGAATAAGAATAAGATTAAAAATAAAAAGATGCAAAGGATATTTCAATTGCAGTGTAGCTGACTGCATATTCTATATATACATATATATTATATATAGTGCTTGTACACTTTTGGAGCATTAAGAAGGTGAATAAGATTTAAAAATCTTTGTTCTTTACTGCATATAAAGCATATGCTAATGGGAACACAAGGACAGACCATAATCAACCATTTCATCTCAGGAAAAAAAGCATAATAGTACAAAAATTACAATCTCATCTACTTGGTTTTTGCTTGATGTACTTTTTTGTACATCATAATCAGCCATTTCAACAGAGGAAAAAAGCATAATAGTGCAAAAATTACAATCTCATTTACTTGGTTTTTGCTCAATGTGCATTTCTGTTTATTAAGCAAGGTTAGTTCTCAGAAAAGACAAGGATTGGGAGGAAATTCAATTGATCAATTTATAAAACAGTTACAAAGAAGCCAAATATGTGTCCTAAAGATATTGCAAATATGAGGCATGACCTTTGTGAATAAATGACAATTTGAATTGTTGAAACATTTCTTTACCCTCTGTTCAGAAATATGTGTATTTACTATTGAAATAAATATGGAAATGAAAAAGTCATTAATTATGTGATTATAAAGAAATATAATTTATAAACTAACAGTACAGGTAATTCTGTAAATTCTATAAAATAGAAGAACAGTTAACAAACTATTATTTTTAATACTTTGCTATGAAATCATCATACTTAAATGGATAAAGCATATTAAAATCAGCACTTCTCAATGAGGTTCTGGGAGGGATTTCAGCACCTGAAGGCATCCATTATAAGTAATTAATTAACTTTTCTCCTAGACATCTAGAATGGTACTAAGTATATACCATCATTGAAAGAATTGAGACAACAGCCACTGAAATAATTATCCACAAATTTTAATTATCTCCTACTGAAATGTCCTTATCTAACAGCTAAAAGTGCTATGTATGTATTCACATTATATTCAAGACACATTGTGAACTTTTACATTTCAGGTCTTATTTTATTTCTCTTGTTTTCACATATTTCTCAGAAATTGGGTTGATCACATAATCTGAATTTCAAGTGAATAATTTATATTAATTCAATATCACTTTCCAGTAAAAAAGTCAGTTTCATATCACAGTTAAGTAAAACATACAAGTTATATTACTTTGCTAGGGCTGTCATAATAAAGTGCACAAGTGGGTAGCTGAAAAAATAAAAATAGAATTTAAGGATGACAGAACACAATTGTGGGGCTAGCAGTATGAGAACAAGGGGTAGGCAGGGTTGGTTCCTTCTGAGGGCTGTGAGGCATGAATCTGTTCCTGGCCTCTGTCCTATTCTTGTTGATGGCCTTCTTTATGTCCTAAGACATTCTCCCTGTATGTATACCTCAGTGTCCCCCAAATTTCCTCTCTTTATAAGGACACTAGCCATAGTAGATTATGACCCACCCTAATTACCTCATTTTAATTCAGTTACCTCTGTAAAACCCCTACATAAAACTATATACAAATAAGGTCACATTTTAAAGTACTGAGGATTAGGACTTCAACAAACCAATTTGCAGTGAGGAGGGAAAAATTCAACCCATAACACCTTGACAAGCACACACATATATAAATTATAGATATAATTTCTACACTGTTGTGCTAGACAGCATTCAGGAATATTTAAAAATTATAAGGTAGGAAAAGAAATACAAAGCCCAGCTAAGACATGTTCCTTATACTTCAGGAGCTTAAAGTGTTAAGACATTAACTAAAATAAATGAGGCACAATAGCAATTATGATGTTTCATAACTGTGGTATAATCTGAAAAGAAAGAAATGCCTGTCACAATAGTATTTCCTTCTCACTACGCTATTTTGAACATCGCGTCTCACACATATGGCCTTCCACAAGGCTATATTCTATTTCTGGCTAGTGCTTTAGCCTCCAAACACCCCCACTCTGGTGAAGTGATCAGAAGCGCATGTTAATCTCAGACAACCAGGGCCCCTGCCCTAGGCGCATTACAGCAGTGGGCTCCTGAAATGCACTGGACCATAGAAATGTATCTACCCAAATCTACCAGATCACACTCCAGATACCTGGGACTGTTGACCCAGAGCCCACTCTCATGAATTTTGCTGAATAATTCCTTGTCTGTTCTCACAAAGGCTAACTCTACTTCACGCATGCATTTCCTTAGATCCAAGTCATGTCTAAGGATCAGATGTTTGTGTGGGATGAGGACAGAGTTTGAACATGTGCACGGAGTTGTGCACACACAAGTATAAGATGGAACTAGAGTGGGAAGGGAAGCCCTGAAGGATGTCAACCAATGGCTTCCATTTTCCCCATTTCCTCACAATTACCCCCCAAATATTGAAAGCAAGTCTGTTTTATTTCTCATTAAATGAAAGCAAACACAACCATTCATGTGTAACTACAAAGTATCTTTAACAATTGCCAGGTTTTCTTTCCAAACAGTGCCATTGACTTTCTCCAAGGGGAATTAGGAATGACACAGCGGAACATCAAAAAGATAGTCATCTTTTGGGAATCAAAATAAATAAATGTGAAAGGAGCATATTTGGTGGTACAATAACGATTGTGAAGAGGATAGATGATGAACCTCAGAGCCTTGTTTTCATTTATTTGAAGTCCACATGAAGATCACCTAAATTTTGAAGGTGGTAGTGAAGAGGGTAGTAGGGAACACTTTGGGTTTTTTTTTTCTTTTCTTTCTCTCTCTCTTTTGCAAAAGGAGTCCCAACTTTTTCAGCATATTTGGTGAAAATATTATTTTGTTTCCCCTTTGAACTGATACTTTTCTTCTCATCAAATTAACCAAACGTGTAGAGACTGTTCTGCTCTATCAAGCTGTTAGTCTACCTTTGCATTTATCTCACACTATCTTGATTACCGTAGCTTTACAATACATTTTAAAAATTAGTAGTACCTGGCTTCCAATTTGGTTCTTAGGTTTCGAAGATTTATGGCTATTCATGATCCTTATGAGAGGTGACAACATGCTAGCAGCCGTCACTCGCTCTCGGCACCTCCTCGGCCTGGGCGTCCACTTTGGCGCGCTTGAGGAGCCCTTCAGCCCGGCGCTGCGCTGTGGGGGCCTCTCTCTGTGACTGGCCGAGGCCGGAGCCGGCTCCCTCGGCTCATGGGGAAGTGTGGAGGCAGAGGCGCGGGCGGGAACCGGGGCTACGCGCGGGTCTTCGCAGGCCCTGCACTTGGAGAGGCCGGCGACGGACAGTGAGGGGCTTAGCACCGGGGCCAGCAGCCGCGGAGGGTGCACTGGGTTCCACAGCACTGCCCGCCCGCCCGCGCCCTGCTTGAATTCTCGCTGGGCCTCAGCGGCCTCCCTGAGGGCCAGGGCTCGGGACCTGCAGCTCGCCATGCCCGAGCCCCTCCCCACCGGTGCGGGCCCCAGCCTCTCCGAGGGGCACCGCTCCCTGCTCTGCGGCGCCCGGTCCCATCACTGCCCAAGGCCTGAGGAGTGCGGAGGCCCGGCGCAGCACTGGCGGACAGCTCCACCTAGGGCCCCAGCGCGGGACGCCCTAGGTGAAGCCAGCAGGGCTCCAGAGTTGGGTGGGGACTTGGAGAACTTTTATGTCTAGCTGGAGGATTGTATATGCACCTCCAGAACTCTGTGTCTAGCTCCGGGTTTGTGGATGCACCAATCAGCACTCTGTGTCTAGCTCAAGGTTTATAAACACACCAATCAGTGCTCTGTGTCTAGCTAATCCAGTGGGGACTTGGAGAACTTTTGTGTCCAGCTAAAGGATTGTAAACATACCTATCAGCACTCTGTGTCTAGCTAAAGGTTTGTAAACGCACCAATCAGCACTCTGTCAAAACGATCAGCTCTCTGTAAAATGGACCAATCAGCTCTCTGTAAAATGGACCAATCAGCAGGATGTGGGTGGAGCCAGATAAGGGAATAAAAGCTGGCAACCAGCACCTACAGTTCCAACCCACTTGGGTCTCCTTGCATGCTGTGAAGCTTTTTTCTTTTACTCTTCACAATAAATTTTCCTGCTGGTCTCTCTTTGGGTCCACACTGCCTTCATGAGCTGTAACACTAAACTCGAAGGTCTGCAGCTTCACTCCTGAACAACGAACCCACCAGGAGGAACGAGCAACTCCGGACGCACTTCCTTTAAGAGCTGTAATAGTCACCTGGAAGGTCTGCAGCTTCACTCCTGCAGTCAGCAACACGTCTGAACATCAGAAGGAAGAAACTCCAGACACACCATCTTTAAGAGCTGTAACACTCACCACAAGGGTCTGCAGCTTCATTCTTGAAGTCAGTGAGACCAAGAACCCACCAATTCTGGACACACTTTGAATTTACATATAATATTAAAATCAGCTCATTGATTTCTACAAAAATACTTCATTGCATTTTTACTGGGTTGTGTTGATTCTAGATATCAGTTTTGTAAGAACTGACGTCTAAGCAATGTTGAGTTAGCTGATCCATGATCATTGTATATCTCTCCATAGTGTAGTTTCTTTTCAATGTCTCTCAGTGATGTTTTATCCCTTTCAATATAAAGATTTTGAGAAAAAATTTAAATTTTATCTCTTAAGTATTTCATACATTAATGCCACTTTGAAGATTGTTTTCTAAATATCCTGCCCACCCCAGAGGACTTTCTGAATCAATGATTCATCTGTGATTAAAGATAATTCATTTACAACCTAGATGTAAATATGTTCATTTATAATCCCGATTATATTCATTTCTTTTTCTTGACTAACTGCACTGGGAAAACCCTCAATTACAATGTTGAAGAAAAGTTGAAACAATTGATATATTTACACGGGTGGAAAAATATCTAGTTTTCCATCATGAAGTTATATTAGCTGCAGTTACTTTGTATCAGTAGATGTCCTCTACCAGGTTGACAAAGGTATCTTCCATAGTTTGATATGAATTTTATCAGGAATGAATGCTGACTTTTATCAGATGCTTTTCTGCATCTACTATAACGCTCACAAATGTTATCTTGTATAGTTTGCTAATATGGTGAATCATATTTTTTAATTTCAGAATTCTAAAGCAAATGTATTCCTTAGCTAACCCCCCGTATTCATGTTGTTTCCCATAAACACGCACACACACAATTTGATTTGCTAGAATATTGACATAATTTTTCCAAGTATGTTCATGAGAGATTTTGAAGAAAACTTCAATCTTATATTATAAATTTTAAACTTTTTATCAATGTAAATAGTTGTACATATTTATGAGGTACAAGTAATATTTCAATACAAGCATACAATGTGTAATGATCAAATTTGGTTTTGAAATGAAAGCATTTCTCTTAAAGGGCTTCATCTCAGTGCTTTCATAAGTATGAAGTGCATATATTTATAATTTTCACTAATCACAGGGTAAATATAAAATTGATTCATTAAAAATGTTTCATAAGAATTCAAAGGACATAGAATTTTGTGAAATGTAGTATTTTTACTTAAGTGCCTTTTCTCTACTTCTACCCCACAGCCAATTTTTTATAAACCAGTTGATACATAAGTAGTTTTGGGGGGATGATATATTACTTATACATTTTCTATGTAGTAAACATGTATGTGTATGTGTGTGGGTGTGTATCTAATTACTTTGTTGGGGTGATTCCTGTGGTTTGGAACTGCTGGGGCCAAGTTTATGCAAAAATCTACATTATTGAGTAAACTCCCCATGACTCTAATAAGTTTCCACAGTATTTGAGAATTCTTTATTTCCTAAAGCTGTACAAACATCAGATAATCAATATTTGTAAGGATCGATAATATAATTTATAATGAAATTGCTTTCTCAGCTATTAATGTTAACTACATCATCTTCGTATAGCCTTATAACTCATTTGTGCTATTCCATTTTCCTCTGTTCCTTTTATTTTCACTTCCCTTGTAATGTTAGTCTCTTTGTACTGATTTCTGAAGAGTTCATTTATGATTAAAGATGTTAACATTTTGTCTAGAAAAAAAAAAGAAAGCATTTCTAAACCCTAGGATGAGTCATAAAATGTTCCTTCTTCAATCTTTAGCCTTTGTTTTGTTACGTGCATGCTCTGATTTATGGTTGAGTACTCCAGGAACACTTTCTGAAGGTCTTTATTGCTTTCTCTCTCTGCAGCTCTCTGTTCTTTAGCACTCTGCCCTGAAAATTTTAAAACTCTTGCCAGCCCCAGATTAACAACAGCATCTCAACCCAGGGAGGCCACCATGGTTTCCCTTTCTCTTTGGAGCCTGAATGCTTTCTCTAGGCAGTAAGTTGGGAATTCTATAAGGTGTACCTTATTTATTTCTCCTCCTTAGGAATGACGATTTTGAGATGCTTGATATGCAATATAGGAATATTATTTTAGAATAGGTTTTCACCATTTTTAAAGTTACTTTAGAAGGTTAAATCTGGTCCGTATTACTATATCTTGGCCAGAATCCGAATTCCCTTAACTTCTTGAGATATTCCTGAAAAACAAATTTTTTTTTCTAAACAACTTTTTAAATATGCCATCACACATTAATCTAGAAGAAATTCCCTTTATCTGTACTTAGAAGCCAATTCATATATTTATATGACTACATATATACACAAATATACATATATTTGAAACATTTATATATGTGTTTAATAAACAGTGTATTTTGGGGAATGCAGCAATCATATAAATCAAATGATGATTTTAATTATGTTATGTAACAATATTTACTCATCACTAGGAAAAATAATCCTCCAATAGCAGATATGTTTATGGATTTTCATTGCCAATACAAAACACTTATATCAGTCTCCTTTTGTAGTTGTAGTATTTCTAATATTCAAAATATAACACAGTAAAATATTAATTTGGTCTTCATTTGAAAAATGGCAACAAGAAAGAAAACATATGAACCATATTCCCTCTGATAGTTCCAAACAGGCTTCATAATTTTACTGATGATACACAGTTATCAACAAGCCTATACTTCTATCTTTTTTTCTAATTAGGGTAAAAATTAGGTTTAAGTAAATATTTACAAAAATGTGCTTAAAAAGTTAGAAAATACATGATACTTATAAGATTACATGAATGAAGGTGTAGCTTCCTTCACAATAATAAAAAATGTGAAAAATAAAAGTGGACAACCTGACAATACTAAAAAAAAAATAACTTTTCCTGCTGAAAAAGGATAATTATTACAATTATAAAAGAAAATGTAATGAAAAAGTTAATTTTATTCCATTAAGCAATGACAGTGTTTGGAGAGGAATGTATAAGAGAGTGAAAGATCTCAAATGGGTGTCAAATGGTGTCAGCTGTGTGTCAGCTCTGTGTCATATGTGTCAACTGTATAATAAGCTCTAGTCAAGCAGATTTTCATTACCAGCTGATGAAAGTATCCTGCTTGAAAAATGAAGCTTAACTGCCACAATGTAGTATCCATTAAAGGAGTTATCACAGAAAATATGGTTGTCAATACATAAAACACTAAAATATATTTCAGAAACATATAAAAACATATAAAATTATTTTCCAATATTCCTATTGTGTAGAGATAAAGCACCATTTGGATTGGTCAGAAACAGATTTCCCTCATTCTCATTATCCCCACACTGGTAACTGTAGTGGTTTGAACTGTATCACCAAAAATATATATTTTGAAGTCCTTTGCCCTAGTACCTCAGCATGTGAAATTTGGACACAGGGTAATTTGCAGATATAATTAGTTAAGATGATTTTATACTGGAATATGCACTAAACCTAATATGACTGGCATCCATACAAAAAAAGAGAAGAGGCAGAGACACAGAGGGAAAAGTTTTATGTGACGATGGAGACAAAGAATATCATTACATAGCTGCAAGCAAATGAAAACCAAGGATTCCCAGCAAACCGCAGAAGCTGGAAAAGGACACGAAAATGATTCATTCCTAGATGCTTCAGAGAGAGCATGTGCCTACTGACTCCTTAATTTTTAAATTTTAACCTCCAGAACTATTATATAATAAATGTGTGTTGTTTTAAGACATCAGTTTCTCCTCCTTTGTTATGGCAGTCCTAGGAAAGAAACAGTCAATTACCTCAATCAACTTACTTTCTAGTGCTTTTTTTTTTAACGTTTTCAAATCAAGGTCTCGTAATTTTTGTCTCAACCATTTTACTAGCTTCCATTCATAGTTTTCTCCAACGATTCTCAAACAACGTAGCCATAGTGATCTTACAAAAATATAAATCTGATTCTTCTACTTAAAATATTTGCTGGCTTCTTATCTCATAGCATAAATTTCATATATCTTAATGTGACTTACAACAACCACCATCTTCTGTAGCTTCTCTATTAGCAGACCTCGGATATCATATCTGTGTCCCACAATACAAACTCAGCTGATGTAAAATGTATTTTTGGTTACCTTGAACTTCCTATTTCCTTCTTAAACCTCAAAACAACTGCATAATGCAATTCTTATTTCCAGGAGTACTGCCCCTAACCTATGCCTGGACGCTTTTCTCTATTAATCAACTCTTTTACATTTTTAAGACTCACCTGAAAAGCAACCTAATAAGTGAGAGTATTGCAAGCCACATGCTATGTTAGAATCCCTAGCAACATCATCTTGAAATCAGCACTGTCTTCATATTGTATTTCTAAATATATGTTTTTCTTATAGTCTTGGATGACTGCAAAGGTATGAGCCATGTCTGTCTTGCTCAGCACTTAGCATAACTTCTCCCACCTTGCGGGCCCTGATACACAATTTTCAGGTACTTGATTACTTCCTTTCATAAGCTTTAAACACATTTGTACCCCCCTCTATATTGTTGCTAGAATTATCATTCTTAAAGTGAGTTATAATTTCAAAATGTGTAAATCAAATATAAATATTAATATTACATTAGAGTTGTATTTGGAACTATCTTCATTTACTTTATTGTTTAGTATAACGATATCAGTGTTTTAACAGAAAGGAAAAGTTCATGCAAACTATTCTATATCCAGATGTTTAAAAAAGTATGTTTTAATATGTATTTAATTGTGTAGGTTTTAATGTATTTTTTTATTGTCTAAGGTAAATTCAATGAAGGAGTTCTGAAAAAACCTTTTATGTAAGTTGTGACTTTTTAAAATTAAAAATAATTATGCTTCTAATAATAAAATAAATAATATATAATTTGAATAAAATAATTATGTCATCATTTACCATGCTATTAGATGTTATTTAAAATCCAATTTGTATTGTTATATTTAGAAGTTACTTTATAAAAGTAACTGCATAGGGAACAGGTAATATCATATGTTGTTTTGTGTAAAATGTGTTTATTCTGTCATCAATATTCAGCCAAAAGAGAAAAATGAAAAATTAGTTTTTATAAGTTAGTAACTGCATGAAGTCTTTGATTGAGCCATTCCACATTATTAGCATTCTTTTGATAAGATCCCACAAAAAGTGGTTTAAAATTTGATATATTTATTACAATAAGAAGGGTAGACAGAGCATCATGCATCGCGCCTATCTAATAACTACTCTATGTGATTTGGAAATCAATGTGATATACATTCTTTATAGAAAAAAGACTTCTTTTTCTTTTAAATGGCCATAATGTTTCTTAGCATGTTTTAAAAGAACTTTTGATGATGCCTCATTGCTAAGCATCGATAAAGATTTTAACCTTAACCTAAATCAAATTCATTCATTGAGGTACTGTTCAACATTCTATGGGCAACTGTGCTTCTGGAAAAATAAAACAATGTCTTTCAAAACGGATACAACATATTTAGTATGAAAAATTAGCACGTATTATTTAGTGATTTTTATTACTGTGGCTTAGCTTGATTTTTACTAGTACAAAAGCTTGCTAATACAAGATTAATTAGGAATAAAAATTAACAGAATGCTATTTTGATCATCACCTTTTTCTGATGTAAAGTCCAGTCACAAATGGAATTTAGTGTTCATAATAATAACTTTCCTGACAATGAAGTCATTTGAATTAATCTCTACTTTTGAAGAAGCTCCAACATTATGATTACAAACTTTCATTCCAGGACTTGTCTCCCTTATGACAAAGAACCTTTGTCCTTTCAATAATGCTGACCACCGCATCACGGTGCTAAATAAATACAACAGAAATGGACAAGACGTGAGTGTATGAATGATTTATGAGGTGTGGAAATTTGAAACTGCCTACTCATACTAAGACGGAATCTTTTCAAATAAAATTTGTACAAAATGACCTCCACAAATATGCGCAGTCATAAGCCAAATATATATACACAGGAATACCAAATTCTGGCAATGTCAATAAGATAATACACAATAATCTGCTGTTGGCATTGGCATCAAAGTTGTTGTCACAGCTGACTGTTAACTGAAAAACAAGTATTAATAAATAGTAGCTGATGCCCATGTGACATTTTACAAAGTCAGTGCTATAGGTACTACAGAAACTTGAATTTTAATTACATGAGCTGTCGCTGGGAACTGGAATCAATTTTAAAATATACTTTAATTTGTAATAATGTGCAAAAACCATGTAAGAACAACATAATATTATATAGATCCAGCAGAGTCATTTTAAAATATGCTGTAATAAGAAATGTTAAAAGGAGAAAGTTTGAAATACATGGCTTTTTAAATCAATGTCATATGATATGACAAAACAAAATTTCATTCTAAGCATAAATCTCCAAAGAGGGCAAATATTTTAAACTGCAGGTCACAAAGCTCACAGTAAATGAGGGAAAGAAAGATAAATTGTGAGGACATTGTCTACAAGATTACTTACGTGTAGCATGGTAAAATATCCATATGAAAATCAGTCTCCTTGGTGTTCTCTTGTCTGCTTTGCTGGAGGTAGAAGTTAATCCTTGTCTTCAGAGTTCCACTGAAATCCTCATATCTATTATTTGTGTCCTCATCTCAAGAGCCACAGTGGTATATGCAAGATGATAGACTTGATAAGCCAGAGAGCTCTCTACCGTTCTCCAAAACAACATTCTTTCCTTAAGCAGCACATAAAAAATTACCTTACTTTTAAAAGTAACATTTTCTTATAGATATAAATAACTTTCATAAATGGAAAAAGTCATGCAAGGGACAATTCCTCTGACACATGGTCTGCAAAAATAAGAATAATGATAAATAAAACTTATTTTCCTTTCTGCCGTCTTGACACTTAGACCTCCAAGGTGGCCTTTAGTTTGTCTCTAGTTTATGAACTGCTTAATGTAAAACACCCAACTATTTTCTTCAGTTTACTTTTCTGTGGGAGTGTTCTCAAAATATTATTATTCACCCACCCCTTCCATAAAAATTTTCATTCCATGCTCTATAATATCTATAAGGGGAAAATAAAATTAGTCATTATATCTTGTTTGTTCACAGAAGTGTCTCAATGTGCTCAAAATTTGGACACTTAGGACAGGCAGTGTTTGACGTATTTTGACTAATAAGAATTTTTTACAGCACATTGTGAAAATCTACTCCAATTATGTAAAAGGACAGTATTCTGTTAAACATAGATACGCATTTTACGGTGCCTTTGAGTATTAGCTTATGTGTTTAGCAGAGAATGCAATTTAGAAAGCAGTGAGTAGTGTGCTCTTTATAGTTTGGTTACCAAAGTTACTTAATATGCATTGTGAGCTTAACTACACGTATCCTTAACTGTTCCCCAAACTAAGAATTATATTTAAAATGTATATATTACAAATCCATAAGACAAGCTGCTATAGCAGTTATATATGAGAGGAGAAGAATGTGACCAAAAATATCTACTCTGAGTTACTAGTGGAAGTTTCAATGATAAATAATTTTTAAAAAGCAGTTCTGGGAAGAAATAAAATATTAAATTATAAAGGATTTGCTTCACACAGATTTGGAAGATACACACATAAACACACACACACACCACAGTATTTTATATATGTGTATATATATAATGTGTATGTGTGTGTATATATATATTATTATTTCTCAAGCTTTACTCTAAGGATGAAAATTCATCAGTATTTTATATATGTATATATATGTGTATGTAGTATGTGTGTGTGCGTGTGTATCTTCCAAATCTGTGTGAAGCAAATCCTTTATAATTTAATATTTTATTTCTTCCCAGAACTGCAATTATTTATCACTGAAACTGTGTGTATATATATATAAAATGACTAATTTTATATATATACACACATATATACATATATATGTATACATATGTATACATATATATACATATATATATATATGCACACACACACATACACTACAGTATTCTAACAACAAACTCCTCCCTTCCAACAAGACAAATTCCTGCATTATAATCCTCACATCTAATGTTTGCATTTAGTTCTTTTGGTGTTATTTTCTTTTAAAATCATAACAGTTGATTCTTTAGAACATTTCCAATTATATCCCAGGACAAAGGGCCTGAAAGGAGAAGCATCTAAGTATCTACATTTCCAAGTCAATGATCTTGAGGTCCTGTATTCTGAGGTTTTAATCCAAAAGATCTAATACTAAGCAAGTTATTTTTACTTTCCTATTTCTCCATCCTCACTGGTCTCTCTAGTCATTGCATACCAGGCACACTGCTACTTGACGTTTTTTCTATTCCCTCTAGTTTGGGTGATCTTCCCTACCTCACCCTACCCCAATATTCTATGGTTCTACTCCATTAAATCCTCTACTCTTTACTCAAATATCTTCCTCCTTCCACTGAAGTATGAAATCTCCAAGAGTATAGAGATGTTTGTATATTTGTATACTGTTTCCTTAATGAATTTTCATCCTTAGAATAGTGACTGAGAAATAATAAAAATAAGTATTTATTAAATAAATGAAAAGGTGAATTACTTGCAGTAGAAATACAAAATTACCCACATAACTGTTCAGATAACAGGACAGATTGCGGTTTCTTCTACCCTAATTTGTATTATCTTCCTTACATTTGGCAGAGGCCCATATCTTCCAAATATTAATATTTCTCTCTCTTGGAATTTTTGCAGTAATTTATCCACCAAGCAAATATTCCTGCTACTGAAAAATTCTTGCCTTTACTGGAAATGCCTGCCCTGTGAAAACCTGAATCTTTGTATATGGGTTCTAATTGTCCCCTATTTTAACTGGACTGTGAGTACCAATAAGATTATGGTAATGTTACTAAAAAGAAGAAAAAAGATTATTAAGCAATTGTTACATTTTATTCAGTGTGCAAAATCATAAACAATAAAAATATATAATCTCATCCTCAAGGCTCATAATGACAATGTAGGCAGATAAGGATTTTAAGCATCAAATGATGATGTGGTCATTATGCTTTTAAGAAACATTAATGTGATAGCAGAGGCTGAATTTATGCAAAGTCTAGAAGAAAGGAAGTTGTGGTCATGGATTAAAACAAGAATAATAGGATGAATGGAGGAAAGGAAACTGGAGACAGTGAAAAGTGAAAATGGGGCCTCATGATTAATGGAATATGAGAAGAGTAGGAGAGGAAATAGTAGTAATGACTCCAAATAATGACTTAGGAAACCGAATAAACCATAGAACAGAAGTGAAGGAAAAATGATGGTTAGGATGTTCAGTTATATCTGGATTTGTGTAAGATTTTTAATTAGTAGTTTTCTAAACTGAAAATGTACTTTAGACACTTAATAGAGAGGTCTGAAGAGAAGTTATATATTGGAAGCATCATTGCTGAAGGGGGTAATAGAGATATGGAGTTATGAATAAAGTTTTAAAAAAGGAAAAGGAGACAACCATGAAAATTTTATAATGATTAAGAAGTGAATATGAAATAAGAAAGTGAAAATCTAAAATATAAGTTGATGTTTCAGGATATTTGGCTGGTGAAAGAGAGGATAAATAGAAGTAGAAATAAAGGGTGAATAGGAAGGGTATAATGAGTAAAATAAATTTGTACAGATTTTAAAAATTTTATATTTTATGCCTCAGAGGTTTAATACATGGTATTTTTAAGTGAAAATATATGTGACTATCTCATTCTAGAATGTCTAACTTATCAATTACTCATTTTAATTTTTCTACTTTGTATCTCAGTGCACAGATATATGACCACAATATTATTCTTATTTTTGCCATTTTTTAACAAAATAAAATTATCCACTTTTTACTATTTGACAATGTTCACTAAAATTATACTATGTTAGATATAAGTATT
Organism: Homo sapiens; assembly: GCF_000001405.40. Classification (NCBI taxonomy): domain Eukaryota; kingdom Metazoa; phylum Chordata; class Mammalia; order Primates; family Hominidae; genus Homo; species Homo sapiens. The sequence goes on along the minus strand of NC_000004.12, from coordinate 115,667,829 downwards.
AGACTCTTGTTTTGTCTATATTTCTTTTTCACTATTGCCTCATTTCATTAGCTGATCTTTGCAATTTGTTTTCAGGAGCGCACCTTGTATAATACATGTTAACTGTCATCTCTGTTTTAAACACCTGCTTTGCAGCCGTATTCATGCATCATGGTTAAGCTCATGAGAAAACTTAGCAAAAATTGTTTTCTTACTTTTCTAGTCACTGATTAACTCCTTTAAAAAAGCAGACCATGTGAGTTTCAGTTAACAGTGTACAGAGACAAAATTATTATCATAAACCGTATCCTTAACTATGATAATCCCTTTTAAAATTCATGTTGTTAGTTACTTCAAGGAAAAGATGAGATTGTGTATATATAATTCATAACAAATTCATCACCTCATTGTAAAAATTATGAGCTTTCAGAAGGGATTTTGAGCAATTTCTTACTGTAAATTACTTAAGTTCATTCAGCAGTTTGCGTATGTTAACTTATTTTTATGCAACTATCATCATTGTTACTTAAATGGTTGAAACTTTGGAATGAGAATCCGCATATACACTATGTGTTTATCTACCAAGATATCAGGCTATCAATTTGATATCCCAGGGAAGTATCAAAAAATAAATACTTCTTAGATGGAAACACTAGATGAAAAACAATTATGATTTATCTATGAAAAAGAAGAAATACAATCAATTACAAAAATTAGAAAACTCTTAGTAGAAGAGACACAGAGATGAATGAAGATTGAATGTCTTGGTATACTATATTTTTAGATATATCTACAAGAAAGAAAGAGAAATATTATCCTTATGAAAGCTAAGATATATATTATAAAAAAGGTTGGCTAAAGCATAGACATATAGGAAGAGTTCAAGCAGTTTGGGGATAGAGAATAAGTTTCTGAGACAGCCTTCTAGGAGCTTGAAGAGAGCAGTTTTAGTAAACTGAAAATGCAAAACTCATACTATAGGAATATGAAAAGGGATGAAGGTAGAAGATGGTCCTTATTGGGTAAGAACGACTCCTTTAAAATAAGCTTTCTTTTTGAAAATATAGCTTTTGATATTTATTACTGTCAAATAAACAACAAATCTAGACGTAAACAGAGACTATTCCAAATGTTTATTACAACAGGGAGAACAATTATAAGGTCTATAGATGTCTCAAGATTAAACAGAAAGCAAAGGCTTTTCTTTCATAGGGAAGTATAACGGAGGACTAGCAGGAACTAGTGGGGGAGTGGAATGAGCAGGTAGAGTTGAGCAGGTGGCATAACTATGGTTAACAAAAACTTTCCCCCCTAGTCAACTGATTCTTGGAATAAGCCTTTAAGGAAGGGTCTTAGGCATCTACCTAGGTACTTAAGCTTGGGGGTGAGCCAAAGTTCGGGAGCCTAGAAGGAGGAGAAAAACCTGAGCAAAGTTTAATCAAGTAGAATCAATGGTAAGTAATAGGTCAATGTGAGCACTTTGTCTTTCTGTACAAACTAGAAATACGTGGATAAATTAGCTAGGAAAGAAGGAAGGGAGGCAAGGAGGGAAGGAGGGAGGGAGGAAGGGAGGAAGAAGGGAGGGAGGGAGGGAGGGAGGGATTTAGGGATTGAGCTAACAATCTAGATAATAAATTTAGGTCTGTTTGATTGCAGGTAACTATTAAAAATGAAACTTGGCCAGGCACGTTGGCTTGCGCCTCTAATCCTAGCACTTAGGGAGGCCGAGACCAGCGGATCACGAGGTCAGGAGACTGAGACTATCCTGGGTAACACGGTGAAACCCCGTCTCTACTAAAACAATACACCAAAACTTAGCCAGGCGTGATGGCAAGCGCCTGTAGTCCCAGCTACTCAGGAAGCTGAGGCAGGAGAATAGTTTGAACCCCGGAGGAGGAGGTTGCAGTGAGCCGAGATCGCGCCACTGCACTCCAGCCTGGGAGACAGAGCGAGACTCTGTCTAAAAATAGAAAAAAAACAAAAAACAAAAAAAGGCAGGGTGCGATGGCTCACTCCTGTAATCCCAGCACTTTGGGAGGCCTCGGCGGGCAAATAACGAGGTCAGCCGATTGAGACCATCCTGGCCAACATGGTGAAATCCCGTCTCTACTAAAAACATAAAAAATTAGCTGGGCATGGTGGCGGGCGCCTGTAGTCCCAGCTACTCAGGAGGCTGACGCAGGAGAATCGCTGAACCCGGGAGGCGGAGGTTGCAGTGAGCTGAGATCGGGCCACTGCACTCCAGCCTGACGAAAGAGCAAGACTCCCTCTCAAAAAAAAAAAAAAAAAAAAAAAAAAGACAAGAAAAATCAAGTCTTATGACTCTGCCCAAGGTTCTTACCCTTTCTTGGACACAGCTGCTTCATAATAAAGGCATAATAAAATCAGGGCCTGGCATGATGGCTCACACCTCTAATCCCAGCACTTTTCGAGGCTGAGGCAGGCAGATTGCTTGAGTCCAGGAGTTTGAGACCAGCCTGGGCAATATGGTGAAACCCTGTCTCTACAAAAAATACAAAAATTACCCAGCTATGGTGGTGTGCTCCAGTAATCCAATACTCTCTAATTCTCAGAATCTATTCTATGTATTCTAAATTCAGGAAAGTGACATGTAGCCTGGTGTCACAGAGGTAATGTTGACCACATGGAAGTGTTAGAAGTGAGGTAAATATAGTTCTGGACTCTCTTTCCATGCAGGGTCTTCATTTAGTTTTCCCACGCTGAATAAAGTATTTGTGGAGCTCTTATAAGAATCTATGTCTTGTTAATTTTGCCAAATATCTTATTTTATAGTGCACACTCTCACCTTTTTCAGGTTCATTGATATTCTAATTAACTGTGTTGGATTATTAGGAAAATTCTGTGACAGTCTACTTAAGGACAAAGTTCAGGGACTATTCATGATTAAGCAGAATTAAGATACATGAAGAGAATAATGGTTTCCTAACATTTGAAAAAATCAAATTATGCAAGCTGCGTATACAAAAGAAATTGAAAACATTATTTGGTAGCTTTTATGACTTATTTTCTCTTGGTTGATGAAATACACAATTTCCAGCAAAGACAGGCATTCTGCTTTCTATCCTATTGGTGATAGATTATGACGCATATGCAAGCCCCCTCCCAGCCCTTTGACCGTTACTTGCAGCGTATTTGATCACCATCCAGCTTTGCATTTAGTCAACTTACTGCCTGCTTCTCAGAATGCTCGGAATGACTTTCATCACAGTGGGTGCAAGGGGGTTGCTTATAATCTGCTTAGCAAGAAAAGTTGTGCGGATGCTTTGCTCCCTCTACTCTCGGGGTCAGTTGTTATCCTGCGCGGTGATCTGTCTTGGTTATGAGGGCCCGAGGGGGAAAACAACAGCAGTGACAGTCTGTTCTATTTTGTACTCTGAGTGCAAGCAGCAGGGTGCTCTGCATATGGCACTTTTAAAGATTTAACGATTAGGATTTAGGTTCGGTCTGAAGGAAAGATTGATTGATTTTAGCATATTGGTGAACCCTTGCTTCAGGCTAGGAATAAAAACCTTACTTCTCAAGTCTGACGTTATTACTTTTCATTTGTTTTTATTGATTAGCTGTCAGTGATAAGATCTTGCCTCTCAAGACAGGTGCTGGTGGCCATTTTTCCTTTTTTAAAAGCTTTTGTAGAAGCAACTTATAGAAAATAGAAATAAAGGAGATAGAAATGAGAACAAATACCCATACCATTTTGAAAATAGTAGTTAGCTATAAAATATTGAAATATTAGAATTTTACTGACTCAGTAAGAAATTTAAGAGAAAAATAATAAAATTTGTGTTTCATCAGCAACAACACACTTTTATCTTACTTAATATATGTCTATACATTGTAAAGAAAAATATATCATTCATATATATAAACCCTTTCTACCATCCCCACTCCATAACTTGAGTTTCTTAGGGAAGGAAGAGCAGGACAATTGTTACTAGATCATTTTTAACCAGATTCTTTGATAATAATCATGAAATAAGACAAATAATAGCTATGGACTTTTTTTATTGAAGTTGTAAGTAAAAATGCAAGTAAAAATAAAATGAATAAACAATTTTAGAAGTTAAGAAATATATATAATTAAAAGTAAAGAAATCTTTTACTAGAGGATATAGGAAGAAGTAACATGTTAATATGTATTATTACATTAATGTGTTTTTATAAAAAGGACTTAAATACAAATGCCAAACACTTCCAAAGATTGCATTCTACAAGGTTTAAGGATGCTATGCACATATAATGATTTAATTGAAGTAATTAAAGTTCTGCTTCCTCATATTTACAGTTCCGATGTTATTGTTGTTTATATCCAATTTACTATTTAAATGCAGGAATATAATTCTGACTATTATGAACTAATTCTCTGAGGAGACTCATGTAGCTAAGCTTGGTATGTTGGGAGCTCACTGTATTAGTGGGAGTTCTCCAAACTAATATCACATGGAATATGACTTTTACTAAAGTATAAGTAACACAATGGACTAATTAAAAGTTTAATTATACACACACACACACACACGATCAGCAATAACTGCAACAGTTTTCTTAGAAGATGATCTATCAAAAGTTATTTCTTTCAGGAAATAATTTATAATAAGTAATGTTATGATTATCAGCACAAAAAAACTAAACAAAGTAGCCTGACAAAGAATTGATTTTATTATTGATAATATTTCTCTACAGACAATGCAACCCCTTCTTTCACCGACACCTTGTACAAACCATTCCCACTGCCCTGATGTTGTTCCATCATTGGAAGGAATGGTTAGTAAATACATCACATGCAGTGTGAGATAATATTTAAGCATCAAAACCCTTAACTTATATGGATCTTAAATTAATTAGAACCCTCTAAGCTGCCTTTATTAGTAATTCTGTTCGACTTAATGTAAGAAGGAATTTACTATTAATACACTATAATAACTAACTAAAAGAATTGAAATAAAAATTTCAAGAATCAAGAGAATCCTATGTAGCCCAGGTTCCAGAGCAAAGAATTAATTTATTTCTGGTACTTTTCCTTCTGTTCCCCTTTTTTATGGTATGGGAGGAATTAACAACTGCTGTGTTTTGGGTAATATGCATAACTTCTGACCAAGAAATAAATGAAGACTCCATACTACCTTAAATTAGAAAAACCTATGAAAGAATTTTAATTTGTCTGGCTTACATTAAGTATGTGTTTCATAAATGGTTGTGAGTAGGTTAAAAGATATTAATGGAGTGGAAAATGTTTTCTCAAATGTTTATTTTTAAATTATTATGCATTTTAATTTGTCGTGTGTGTGTGTGTGTGTGTGTGTGTGTGTGTATGTGTGTCTGCATGTTCCCTAGTTAACATGGGACTCTAGAATGTTTGAGGAAAACAGTTAGCTTATGTTCACAAGGTCAAGTAGAACACTAAGGTTAATTGGAGTAATTTGTGATAATAACTAACAGATTAATATTATGGTGGAGAGGAAAGTTGTGAGTTTCTGTTTTAAAGAAGTCTTAAAAGTTGTGGTGAAAATATATTTAGATAGATAAACTTTCTCAGTGACCAGACCAATACAAATATGTTGGGTGTTGTGAATGTGAGCTATGAGGTGTATGAAATGGTTATATTTTCTGTCTTTGAGGTACTTGAGGCAATAAGTAACAGGTTAAATTCCCCACAATAAAAAGTTGCATAAGATTGATATAAAATTAATATTTCCATTAATAGATTAGTGTGATATATATGACATATAAACATTTAGAGAAAGAAAATCCATGGTATACTAGAGTGCTAAGGAAGGGTTCTATGGAAGACAACGACCTTGAACAGGGAAATAATCAGGGGGCACTATGTGGATCTTAGTACAGAATGAGATAAGGCACACTTCTTCATGCAAAGACATGGATAACAGAGGATTTGGAATAAACTGTTCTCACAGGAACCACTTCCTTCAATTAGGAGACAGAAAGAAGAAATGGAGAGTTATCATACAATCTAATGGAGGATGCTCTTAAATGCTAGTTTTAAGTTTGTGTATGACAAAGCAAAGTTAAGAAATTATTTTGAACAAAAGATAGAAATTATGAAAGCATATGAATTTAATAGCTGAGTGCAAACATAAAGAATTAAAAATAAGAAAGTGAATGAGATGATTAGAATCTAGGTGTGTACTGATGATCTCAGACTGGATAAACAGCAGAAGGAAGGAGAAGACCCCTGCTATAGGAGTGAGACTTTAGGAAAAAAATGGTAGGTAAAGATTAGTAACTGAAAAGTATTTTATAATTGCTTATAAAAGAAGGTGGGAAAACCTTCTAAAGGTTTTATTCTTAAAAATCTCTGCTCTTTAAAGAGCCATTTAAAAATCTCACCTAACTATTGCAGTCAACATCTCTTTGATATTGTAGTTTGACATTGCTTGGCTGGATATAATTGGAATTCTGTTACTAAGAAAAAAAGGAAAAAAAATCATGGAACCAAAAAGGCACTATTTCATCTCTGTAAAAATATCACCTATACTTTCTGTTTTTTGGGATAGACAATTAAATTTTAGTTTAGTTTTGCTGTTTAAAACAGCTAGCAAATCTTTGGGACTGGTACTAATTGAGTTTCCAATTTGTAGTTAAGGACCCAAGAAATTCTGAGAAATTACTTGAAATATCCTTCATTATATTGAAAAAAAGTTTGCTATTAAGTAAGCATATTTCTCATGTAATCTCTATTTCATCATATATTTGAATGGGAAAATGAATATATATATATAACATTACATTATGGGTTTGTATTTTGGGCAAATGTAGATGGCCTAAAATTAAAAGGGTATATGTATTCCTGTATCAAGTCACACATTTTCACATATTTAAATAAAAAAGAAACCAAGAAAGTATGGGAGAGTTTCCAGGTACATTAGCTTATCTATAAATTTTTAAATAACATAGGATAGAGTAGGAGATACAAGGAAAGGAGTGAACATTTTTCTTTTACTTGTAATACAATATGTTGTTAGACTAGTTTCATAAATATGAATTAATCCAAATAGCTATGATTGCATTCTTTATAATAGCATGGGAGATAAATAATAATGATTTGCTAGATACTCGCTACTGCCATAAAGTGCTTGTGCTGAAACATGATCACTCATTAACTAAAGGTCAGGCAAAGACTTTCTAATGCTCTTGTCAGAGTGACTTTTAATCTTTGTTGCAGCAGTTTGTAAATCCTTGTATATGCTTAGCTAGGCTCTATTTATTTCATTGTTACATCGCTCTCATGTTTACTGCTGCCACGGTACTCATTTCAATTTAGAATAATGCATCTGTATTTGACATGTGTAAATATTAGAGACAGATGAGGAATACTTTACCATAGTGCAAGAAGGCATACCAAGGAGTAATGGGATGGAATTAAGAGAATGGAAAGTATCAAGAGAAATCGTTGAGGTCATTTTTTAGCCTTAACACTGAACTTCCAAAAAAAAAAAAAAAATTCAAGGGCAAGAATATCTTTTGAGGTATTTGACCAAGATTGGAAAAATATAGAAAATTAAATATGAAAAGTTTCACTCTAAATGTGAATTAGATGAACGAATCTTAGTCTATAATCCCTTTTTCAGAAATCTTATTTCACTGTCACCTAGGAAATCAGCAGTAACTAAGTTTAAAGGTAGTTGTACTCTGTCCTCTAAGGAACTTACTATAGAAATACAGACAGGAGTAATGCATAATGGCATTCTACATTAAGTAAAGAACAAAGAAATAACTTATTCATTTTTTTCTATTCTCACAAAATAATAGGCTAGATTTGTTCCTTTAATGCAAATCAGTGAAATGAGTTCTATCCAAGCGTATCTGCAATTGAAGTATTCTGAAAACTAATTCAGCATTTCTCAAAAGTTACCTGTTAAAATTACAGAATGCTGCTCCTTGCTGTAGACCCACTGAACCAATATTTCTGAAAATGATTTTGTATATACTGTCATATACCCCTAGGAAATCCAGTGCACTCTAAAATTTGAAAAGCACTGGGCTACACACTAATATAAACCTTACCCTGAAGGCTTGACAGGAACTAGAATATGTTGAGTATCACAGAGTAAAATTAAAGTGTAAAAGATTTATAGCCACAGTGAGGTGTTACGTGCATATTGCACATTAACATGTTATTAATGTGTTCATACTTACCTTTTAATCTATGAGATTTTTGTATATGCATGTAAAATATACATTTTATATCTATGTGCATGGATATAATATAGTACAAATATTAATATATAAGTAAAAATATAGAAGGGATTTCTAAACATCTGTCTTACATATAAAATCATTTCCATTTATTCAAACATATTTATTTGTGCCCTTAATTAATATTCCTTAAGCTCACCAATTACTTATGTATTATATTCTACTTAAGTGGTGTGTTGTAAGCTAATTGAAAACAATATTTCTGCCTGATATATCTTTTCTCATATCACTGAACACTGCTTTCCATTTAGTATTTCAAGAATACGGGTTGAGAATAACAGTGTCCCTATCTTATTAGAACATACACGCAGATAAAAGAAACATACACTCAGAACATACACTCAGATAAAAGAAAAGGAGTAAGCAGTACATTCTAACTCATGGGTGGGATAACAGTTAAATGTAGGGTAGAATTGGGTCTTTTGTGAACACAATGCCTCAAAAATATTATGATTTTCTCTGTTTCTTTGTGATCAGCCATTCAAAGACAAATATTCTACAATTAAAAGTATGTATGATAAAGACAGCTGATTAGAACCTTTCAGTGATTATCTCCCCACAGGAACACCAAATTGAACAATGATCCAAACAAGAAATCACCTTCATAAGAACCAAAAAAATCAGGTGAGAACAGTTCCTTCTTTTAACATAAATACAAGGAAAGAGGCATTGAAGAGGGTAGGAAGGACAGTCTTGCATTGTCTACACCACCCTTTCCCTAAGGCCAGGCAGTACGGCACAGAGAGAATCTGTGTGTTTGTGAGAGGGAGAGCAAAGTGAGTGTGTGACTTTGCATTAAAATTCAGTGCTCCCTGTTGCAGAGGAACACAATACAGGCAGAATTTTGCTTCTGCTCATGGAGGGAGCATTTACCCCAGCCCTGGGTGAGAGAACTATCATTTGCCCCAGACAGAGGAACCCTTATCTCAGCCAGCTTCACCACCAGTTAGTTGATTAAAACAGTCTAAGAACCCAAATAAATTTGAGTGGCAGTCAGGCCACAGAAGTTGCAGTCTTGGACATGCTCTGATGATGTGCTTGTCTGGAAAGCGGTGGGCTTGGGGTGTAACCCAGTGTAACATTAGCTGCAGTGGCTGTGGGAGTGCCTGCATCATTCTTCCCCAAACTCCAGTAAGTGCAGAGAGAGGAAAACTTCTGCTTGGTGGAAGGAGGGCAAAGTGTACAGAAGACGTTGTCTTGCAACTTGAATGCCAGCTCTGCCAAAGTAAAAAAAAGCACCAGGAAATTCCTGAAGCCCCTGGTTCCAGGCCTCTGCTCCTGGATCAAATTTCTAGACCCACCCTGGGTTAGCAAGAAATCTGCTGCTCTGGTGAGATGAATCCAGCCCCAGAAGGATTCACCACCTGCTGAATCAAGTGGCCTCGGGCCTTAAAGAAACATCAGCTGCAGCCAAACAATAGCAGCTACAGACTTGGGCAAACCTCAGTACTGTGCTGGTTTGGGAGGCTGTGGGGTTGAGGTGTGACCCAGCACAGTTCCAGCTGTTGTGGCCCTGGGAGAGTCCAATATCGCCCCTCCCCTAACTTTAGGCAGGCCAGCATAAAGAGTTTCCTTCTGCTTGAGGGAAAGTGAGAGAACAGAGTGAGCTGCCTTACCTGGGAACCAAGGTATAATCGTTTATCTTCACCAATTCCACCAAGGCTGTGGATCTAGGAGTCTGCAAGACTCAAAGAGTTACTGGGCTTAGGCCACTCTGAGTGTTTATAGGGCTGCAGTGATCACAGGCATAAGTAGCAACACACAATCTCCTTGGAATTCTTGGAAAGCCCTCTCAAGAAGGATGGACAGCAAGAAGTCCAGACTGTCAAGATTAGACTAAATATCTAACTCTTCAATACCCAGACATGAACAAAGATCCACAAGCATCGGGGACATCGGGAAACATGTTCTCATTGCACAGACTAACTAAGGCACCAATTAACAATCATATATGGAAATTCTGGAGCTGCAAGTACAATAACTAAAATTAAAAATTTACTATACAGGTTCATCAGTTGACTTTCAATGGGAAACACAGCTAACATAAAGATATATCAATAATGATTATGCAATTGGAAGAGTAGAGAGAAAGAATGAGGGAACATGAATATAGTCTCAGGGAAATGTTAGGGACTACTAAGTGCAACAACATACAAATGGGAAGGTCAAAGGAGAGGAAATAATTTTTTTAAGCAAATAATGTCTAAAAACGTCCAAAATTTGATGAAAATAGTTAATTTATTCATTAAAGAAAATGATCATAATCTAAGTTAGATAAACACAAAAAATATCTACAGATATGTCATAGTGAATATGCTGACCGTTAAAGACAAGAAGAAATCTTGAAAGCAGTAAGAGAAAATGATTACTTCCGTATAATCCCGAACAGGATTAGCAGTTTACTTCTCATCAGAAATAATGGTAGCTAGAGAGCTGTAGAATCACATATTCAAAATGTTCAAAAAGTAAAAAAAAAATCCGTGTCATCCAAGGAAACTACATACTACATTCAGCAAAGTTATCTTTCAAAAATCTAGCTGAAATAACATTACAAGAAAAACAAAATCTAAAAGAACTTGTAGTGAGTAGAACTGATTTACAGGAAATAACAAAGAAAGTTTCTCAGACTTCACTTTCCATCTCGGCAAATAAAAAAAAAAGAAAAAAAAAAAAAAAAAGGAAATTTCTCAGACTGGTAGCAAGTGAGTCCAAACAATAGTTTAAAGCTGTGTGAAAAAAAAATAGTGAAGATCACTATGAAATTGTAAAAAACACTGTAAATGCATATTTTATCTCCTTTCTTCTCTCAGATGAATTAAAAATCAATATATATAATTATATTGTCAAGCATACACATAGAAATATAATGTATTTTCCCATGCTAGCACAAAGGAGACACATCTCTTTTGTGTCCCATATATACATGAGTTAGTATGCATAGACACATCTTCTTTGTGCTAGTAAGGCAAGAATAGGCTGAGAAACTGACTCCCAATTATCAATGAAACTCACAAGAAAAAGTGAGATAGCAAATAGAAAATAAATATATCAAAATACATAAATATATAGTTGCTCCCCATTCCTTTCTTACCTTCCTTAAGGCACATAAAAATATAAAATATTAATTATAAAAATGTACTGCTGAATAGATAACATATATAAATAAAATGTGTATAATATTAATACCTTAAAAAAGAGGAAAATGTAATTGAGTTATATGGGAGTGGCTTTTCTATATCTCACTGTAATTAAATCAGTATATATCTGAGACAGATTCTGGTTAGTTAAGATTTATATGGTAGACTTTGAGAAATCACCAAAGAAATAACTTAAAACTAAATAGTGTAAAATGATTAAAGACATTAAAATGTTACATTAGAAAATAGTCTCTTATTCTAAAATAAATCAATAAAGAAGAGGTGGAAACATATACACTAAGATATGAGACATACAGAAAACAAAATGTAAAATGACAGACGTTAATTAAACTATATCAATAAATTTAAGTATTAATTCATCAAGTAACCCTATCTATATGAAATGTGTATAACATGGTATTTGATGATAAGTTTTTACATATGACACTAACATCATCATCCATTAAGAAAAATGCTTTATAAATTAGACTTTTTTAAAATAAAAAAATTTCTGCTCTTTAAAACACTGTTAAGAGAATAAAAAGCCACAGACTAGGAAAACCTGTTTACAGTATCTGGTTTCTATCTAAAACATACAAAAGATTTCTATCCAAAACATACAAAGAACTCTTAAAACTCAACAACATGCATACAGAGGTTGAATAAAGTAAATGGAGGTAGATAAAAGGAGCAAACGTTCTGACTGTTAAATTGGAAGGTAGCAGATAAGCAAGTAAATAAGGCAAGAATAGTCCATATGGTAATGAATTAGAGTTGGAAGCATCAGTATGAACTCATGTTTAGCTTAATGCAGATATAGATAGTGTTATGGGTTGAGTTTTGTCTCCAAAAACTCTATGTTGACGTCCTAAGCACCAGTACCTTCAAATGTGATCTGATTTAGAAAAAGGGTCATTGTATAATAAGTTCATTAGTTTGGATGAGGCCATAATGTAGTAGAATGGGTCCTTAATCTCATATGAAAGGTGTCTCTTTTTTTTTAATTATACTTTAAGTTCTAGGATACATGTGCACAATGTGCAGGTTTGTTATATAGGTATACATGTGCCATGTTGGTTTGCTACACCCATCAACTTGTCATTTATATTAGGTATTTCTCCAATGCTATCCCTCCCCCAGCCCCCACCCCCTGACAGGCCCCGGTGTGTGATATTCCCTGCCCTGTGTCAAAGTGTTCTCATTGTTCAACTCCCATTTAGGAGTGAGAACATGCAGTGTTTGATTTTCTGTCCTTGTGATAGTTTGCTGACAGTGATGGTTTCCAGCTTCATCCATGTCCCTGCAAAGGACATAAAATCATCTCCTTTTATGGCTGCATAGTATTCCATGGTATATACGTGCCACATTTTCTTACTCCAGTCTATCATTGAAGGACATTTGGGTTGGGTCCAAGTCTTTGCTACTGTGAATAGTGCCACTGTAGAGAAGACCTTAAATGACCTGATGGAGCTGAAAACCACAGCACAAAAACTTCATGACACATGCACAAGTTTCCACAGTCAAAGGATATCAGTGATTGAAGATCAAATTAATGAAATAAAGTGAGAAGACAAGATTAGAGAAAAAAGAGTGAAAAAAATATGAACAAAGCCTCCAAGAAATATGGGACCATGTGTAAAGATCAAATCTACGTTTGATTGGCATTCCTGAAAGTGACGAGGAGAATGGATCCAAGTTAGAAAACACTCTTCAGGAGATTATTCAGGAGAACTTCCCCAACCTAGCAAGGCAGGCCAACATTCAAATTCTGGAAATACAGAGAACACCACAAAGATACTCCTCAAGAAGAGCAACCCCAAGACACATAATTATCAGATTCACCAAAGTTGAAATGAAGGAAAAAATGTTAAGGGCAGCCAGAGAGAAAGGTCGGGTTACCCACAAAGGGAAGCCCATCAGACTAACAGCGGATCTCTTGGCAGAAACCCTACAAACCAGAAGAGCACGGGAACCAATATTCAACATTCTTAAAGAAAAGAATTTTCAACCCAGAATCTAATATCCAGCCAAACTAAGCTTCATAAGTGAAGGAAAAGTAAAATCCTTTACAGACAAGCAATTTCTATGAGATTTTGTCACCACCAGGCCAGCCTTACAAGAACTTCTGAAGGAAGCACTAAACATGGAAAGGAACAACCGGTACCAGCCACTGCAAAAACATGCCAAATTGTAAAGGCCATCAATGCTATGAAGAAACTGCATCAATTAACAAGCAAAATAACCAGCTAACATCATAATCACAGGGTCAAATTCACACATAACAATATTAACCTTAAATGTAAATGGGCTAGATACCCTAATTAAAAAACTAGACTGGCAAATTGGACAAAGAGTCAAGATCCATCAGTGTGCTGTATTCAGGAGACCCATCTCATGTGCAAAGAAACACATAGGTTCAAAATAAAGGGATGGAGGAAGATCTACGAAGCAAATGGAAAGCAGAAAAAAAAAAAGAGCAGAGTTTGCAATCCTAGTTTCTGACAAAACACGTTAAATCAACGAAGATCAAAAGAGACAAAGAGGGCCATTACATAATGGTAAAGGGATCCATTCAAAAAGAAGAGCTAACTATCCTAAATATATATGCACCCAATACAGGAGCACCCAGATTCATAAAGCAAGTTCTTAGAGACCTACAAAGAGACTTAGACTCCCACACTATAATAACGGGAGTATTCAACACCCCACTGTCAATATAAGACAGATCAATGAGACAGAAAATTTACAAGGATATCCAGGACTTAAACTCAGCTCTGGACCAAGCAGACCTAATAGACATATACAGAACTCTCCACCCCAAGTCAACAGAATATACATTCTTCTCAGCACCACATCACACTTATTCTAAAATTGACCACATAATTGGTAGTAAAACACTCCTTAGCAAATGCAAAAGAGTAGAAATCACAACAAACTGTCTCTCAGACCACAGTGCAATCAAATTAGAACTCAGGATTGAGAAACTCACTCAAAACCACTCAACTACATGGAAACTGAACAAAGCTGCTCCTGAATGACTACTGGGTAAATAACAAAATGAAGGCAGAAATAAACATGTTCTTTGAAACCATTGAGAACAAAGACACAATGTACCAGACTCTCTGGGACACATTTAAAGCAGTGTGTAGAGGAAAATTTACAGCACCAAATGCCCACAAGAGAAAGCAGGAAAGATCTAAAATTGACACTCTAACATCGCAATTAAAAGAACTAGAGAAGCAAGAGCAAACACATTCAAAAGCTAGCAGAAGGCAAGAAATAACTAAGATCAGAGCAGAACTGAAGGAGATAGAGACACAGAAAGCCCTTCAAAAAAATCACTTAATCAAGGAGTTGGTTTTTTGAAAAACTCCACAAAATAGACCACTGGCAAGACTAATAAAGAAGAAATGAGAGAAGAATCAAATAGACACAATAAAAAATGATAAAGGGTATATCACCACCAATCCCACAGAAATACAAACTATCATCAGAGAATATTATAAACACCTCTACACAAATAAACTAGAAAATCTAGAAGAAATGGATAAATTCCTGGACACATACACCCTCCCAAGACTCAACTAGGAAGAAGTTGAATCTGTGTACAGACCAATAACAGGTTCTGAAATTGAGGCAGTAATTAATGGCCTACCAACCAAAAAAAGTCCAGGACCAGACAGATTCACAACCGAATTCTACCAGAGGTACAAAGAGGAGCTGGTACCATTCCTTCTTAAATTATTCCAATCAATAGCAAAACAAGAAATCCTTCCTAACTCATTTTATGAGGCCAGCATCATCCTGATACGAAAGCCTGACAGAAATACAACAAGAAAAGAGAATTTTAGGCCAGTATCCCTAAGGAACATCGATGCGAAAATCCTCAATAAAATACTGGCAAACCGAATCCAGCAGCACATCAAAAAGCTTATCCACCATGATCAAGTCAGCCTCATCGCTGGGATGCAACGCTGGTTCAGCATACGCAAATCAATAAACGTAATCCATCACATAAACAGAACCAATGACAAAAACCACATGATTATCTCAATAGACGCAGAAAAGGCCTTCGACAAAATTTAGCAGCCCTCCATGCTAAAAACTCTCAATAAACTAGGTATTGATGGAAAGTTTCTCAAAATAATAAGAGCTTTTTATGACAAACCCACAGCCAATATACTGAATGGGCAAAAGCCGGAAGTATTCCCTTTGAAAACAGGCACAAGACAAGGATGCCCTCTCTCACCACTCCTATTCAACATAGTGTTGGAAGTTCTGGCCAGTGCAATCAGACAAGAGAAAGAAATAAAGGGTATTCAATCAGGAAAAGAGGAAGTCAAAATTTCTCTGCTTGCAGATGACATGATTGTATATTTAGAAAACTCCATCATCTCAGCCCCAACTCTCCTTAAGCTTTTAAGCAACTTCAGCAAAGTCTCAAGATACAAAATCAATGTGCAAAAATCACAGGCATTTCTATACACCAATAACAGACAGAGAGTTAAATCATGAGTGAACTCCCATTCACAATTACTACAAAAAGAATATAATATCTAGGAATCCAACTTACAAGGGATGTGAAGGACCTCTTCAAGGAGAACTACAAACCACTGCTCAACGAAGTAAAAGAGGACACAAACAAATGGAAGAACATTCTATGCTCATGGATAGGAAGAAAGGTGTCTTTTTAAAAAGAAAAGAGATACAGAGACAGGCACACAAGGGGAAAAGTCCATGTGATCACAGAGGCAGAGATTGAAGTGATGTTGCTGCAAGTGAAGGAATGCTGAAAATTTCCAGCAAGTTTCTGTCTCAGCACCAGAAGCTAGAAAGAGGCAAGAAGGAATTTTCCTCTGTAGGTCACACAGGGGGAGCATGACTGTGCTGGTCCCTTGAATTCAGACTTCTAGACTTCAGAACTGTGACATAATACATTTCTGTCTTTTTAACACACTTAGATTGTAGTACTTTGTTAATTACAGCCTAAAGAAACTAATACAGATGACTACCCATAAAAATATTCATGAATATATGATATATACATGGGTTTGTATGCATTTGTATATTCCCTTTTTCAATCAGCTGAGAGAGCCTAAAAGTAACATGCCCATAGTAACAAGGATATTTAGTGCCCATATCTTGGTATCTAACTCCATTCATCAATAAAAAGATCAAGTGCTTTTTGGAGACATGACTGATTCTCAGGCAAAAAATATGCAATATGAACCTGGAGCACCTTGATGTGCCAGAAAGTTAGAAAGTGCTAAAAAAAAAAATTCCATAATGATTAGATTTTTTCAGAGCAACATAGGAGCCAACTGAAATTGCTCTTGTTGACAAAAGCTGGAACAATTTTAACAACCAAATAAATAAAATAGTGTTAAATTATAACCCAAAGTATAAAATAACTATGACTTTATAGTGATGCAACTAATTGATCGAGTTAATAAATAAACGGGGAAGAAGAGACAACTTTCCTGTACAGAAGAATTCAGAATAATTTCTATGCATATTCTGCCCTCAGGATAGTAGAGCCTAACTTGCCACTCTTTCATTGCGGGCCATGCATAGTTACTCTTTCCTAACAGTACCGCAAAAAGGAGGAAAAAAGAGAACTTTACAGCGGAGAAACCCGACAAATGTTACTTCAGCTTAGATTAGCATCAACAGTGATTTTTTTATTTTATGTGTCCTTGATGTGATATGATGAGAATGGCAACTTACCTCTGCAGCCTTCACTACAAAACCTATGACCCCAGTCTAATCATAAGAAAAGCATCAGAAAAATCAGAAAAATCCCATACCAAAGACATGCTACAAAATATCTGACCAGTACTTCTCAAAATGGTCAACATCATCAAAAACAATGTCTAAGAAAAAGGAGACATGTGGAAGACTTCTGGGTTCTGGCAGTTTCCTATATCTTGATTATAAAGGGATGTATTTCGTAAATATCTATTGGAATATGCACTTAAGATATGTGCACTTGCTAAAAGCATTTCAATAAAAAGTATACAGAAATACAAAAAAAACTGGAAACCTAGTTCTAATATGTATCTGACATTGGAATTCTGAGAAATGTGGCCCTGTAAGACATCAACATATTTAGAATCTAGTTTAAATTGCATTCATTATTCAAGAAGACAGTCTTCAAAATCTTTAGGTCAGAACTGCTAGGTTATTGTGAACAGGCAGAAAGTAGAGGGAACCTAGCAATAGTAATCTAGTGTTATTAAAAAATCATAATCCAAAGTGCATTGTATTTTTAAGAATGTTTTATATAGAATTATTTTATTATTCAAGATAAATGCATAAATTTAAAAATATGTATGGGATCTATAAATACTTCAAATTTTCTTTATAAATGGATTGAGTATGATAGCAAAAACTATTTACACTTTGTTCCAATGCTGACATTGTTAAATGGATACTCTTACTAAATTCTTCTCAAAGTTAATAATATTGGCTACAAAAATAATATTAATTTTATAATCCTGAATTATAAACCAGGTACAATTCAGTGCTCAATAAAGATGACTGTTAAATCTCTATGTTCTATTGTCTTAGACATAATTAAACTAACTTCAAATTAGAAAAGAAGACCTAATACATTTACCCCAACATTCAGTTTCCTAGAGTGCCATACCAGTGGAGTACTCACCATGCTAATATATTACTTTTCTTACGTTACTCAACAAGCAAATGTCATTTTCATAGATCCTGTTTTTTCTGCATTCTATATGAATATCACTGATAAAAAAATAAAGTAGATACATGTTTTAAAAACACCAATAAAAATAGCTCAGAAAAATCAGGGACATGGCTATGACATGTCCGCTCTCAGAAGAGAATAAAACAACCACTTACAATTTCCAGAAATAATTTTATGAACAATAGCGAACTTAAAACTTGGCTGCCATAAAGACTATTTTTATCCAAATTCTTCACATATAATGGGAATGTACTGGACTCCATCAGTCATATTTCAAATTATTTCGTTTGAAGTATTCATGGGAGAAACAGGGAGATTTAGGTTAGATAGAAAACTATGATTTTACCACCTAACATACATCCGCAATGTAAAATCAAGCAAAAAGCTTACCTAATCCATTTCCCTGCTGAGACAGATCCTGAAGGAGACAGAACAGAGGCCCAGTGTTGCACATTCTTATTTTTAGATTAGACTTTAAATATAAAAAGCCTCTGGACAAAGATTTGAATGTGGCGCTTCCTTCGTCTGTGAAGATCCTTGGACTCATCAGTCAGGGTGGGAATGCGCAGTAATCCTTGCCACCAGAAAATAAAAAGTTGCTAAGGCTTTAACTAAGTTTTCTCCATCCCTAAGACTACCAGTAAATATGAAGGACGGGGGAAAATGACTTATTCTCAGTACCTAGAAATGGGACCAGGAAATTGGCTAAGGCCATGCCACTAGTTTGAGGTATTAAGGGCCATAGCAGCTTCCACTGTTGTCCCTAAGGCTCCCTAACAAGCAGGAAAGCAAAACCAAAATCACACTGAAGCCTGCTATTCCAACAGAGAGAACAAAAGACCAATCCAAATAGATCTCTACTGCAAAGAAAGGGCAGGGGAAATAAAAGACAACTTGAAGAAAAGAAACAATAACAAGAGTTTTAGTGTTGTTATTAAACCCTTGGGGTGTTTCAAGTATAGTACAAAAATAAAAATACTGTCACTAACAAAATAATCTTCAAGTAAAAAGATGTAATTGAATTGGAGAAAAACATGATCACTAATGAAAATAAAAATGGTATCCTACAATTATTGAAGGAAACTATCTCAAAACACAGGATTAAAATACTAAAAGAAAAGTACATGAGATCCATGAGATCTAATGTGAAATAATAAAATGTGACCATTAAACAACAGAAATTTATTTTAATACAGAAAGGAGAACCTAAATCAGCAAATTTAAACCTTCACCAACATCAGGAAGTACACCCAGAATTATAATAAAAAATATTATCGAGCTGTAAGTGTAAGGAGAAAATAATTATCAAGCTCTCTGGAAAAATGCATAAATAACTAACAGAAGAAAAATAATCAGGCCAGGCACGGTGGCTTACTCCTGTAATACCAGCACTTTTGGAGGCTGAGGCAGGTGGATCACCTGAGGTCAGGAGATTAAGACCAGCCTGGCCAACATGGCGAAACCCCTTCTCTACTAAAAATACAAAAATTAGACAGGTGTGGTGGTGTGCAATTTGAATTCCAGCTACTCAGGAGGCTGAGGCAGGAGAATCGCTTGAACCAGGAGGTGGATGTTGCAGTGAGCTGAGATCATGCCACTGCACCACTCCAGCCTGGGCCACAGAGTGAGACCCCATTTCAAAAAAAGAAAAAAAAGAAAAGTTAAAGAAAAAAGAATCAGACAGCATATAGAGTAGCAAAAAGATATAGAGTAACATCTATAGACAAAAAGTTATAGAATAACATCTATAGACTACAGAGAGATAAGAATGGCAAAGTACAACCTTACTATTTAAATTATTTGCAATCTACAGAGTGGAAATATTGGCATCACCTGTGGGCTTCTTAGAGAAACAGAGTATCAGACTTCATCTCAGACTTACAATGTCAGGTCTGCATTTTATTAAAATACTGATAGATTCATATGCACATTAAAATCTGAGAAGTTTAGCCCAAGAAACATATGGCAGTCAAGATAATTTTCACAGAGCAGATTAAATAAATATATGTGTAAACTAGTAAATGTTTCAGACTATGTATCCTGCATATCAATTTGAGGAAAATACTCAATAAATAATAACTCAAAACACACACACACACACACACACACACACACACAACCCAAAACAAACAAGCAAAGACCTCCAAAAGAAATAAAATATGTTTAAGCTGTCTGCAGTGAAAAACAAAATGTTTTATCTGACTATGTATATATTTACATACATATATATACACACACACATATACATATAATGATTGAGAGATTGATAATTAGTTAAGTGGTTATTAAGGATTCTTGAAACAGGAAAATTCTATTAGTAGAAAATATATTCTGTATATTGCATGGAAATACCAGAATTTCAATTATTTCTGTAAAATTTTAAAGTATATATACTTAATTTTGCAGAAGTTTAAAAATAAAGGGCAATTCAAGCAATAGCAAGAAATGGCAAAACAAAAGAGCAGTAATGCTCTTAAATTCAGGCATAAAATCAAGGATACATTTGGAACATTTGCAGAAAATTTTTCATATTGTTTACTACAAAGTGCTTAAAATTCTTAAAGTAAGACATTTAAAAATCTACATTTTAGAAATCAATAGAATTAAATACAAATAATAAAAATTATTCAAAATTATAACTTCTTTGAAATTAGAAAACCTACTTTTAGATAGCCTTTGTGTCAAAGAGGAAATTCAAAGTGATAATCTATCCACAAACCAATGAAAAAGAGTATTTCCATATAAGCCTTTGAATGCCTTTAATTTACTTTTAGTGCCTTTATTACTTAACACAAAAGGAAAATAAATAAACCTTGTACTAATCTTCTAAAAACTTAACAAAAGAACAAGTTAAACTCCTAGCACTTGGGAGGCCAAGGTGGGCAGATCACCTGCGGTCAGGAGTGCAAGACCAGCCTGACCAACATGGAGAAATCCCATCTCTACTAAACATACAAAATTAGCCGGGCGTGGTGATGCATGCCTGTAATCCCATCTACTTCAGAGGCTGAGACAGGAGAATCGCTTGAACCCAGGAGGTGGAGGTTGCAGTGGGCCGTGATCACGCCATTGCACTCCATCCTAGGCAACAAGAGTGAAACTCTGTTTCAAAAATAAATAAATAAATAATAAAAAAATAAAAAAAACTTTCTAGAAATATAAGTTCCTTAATTTAAAAGCTGAAAATATTAAAATATTAAAGAACTAAAAATCAAAACATAAAAATGATAAATACAAAATTTTGTTATTTTAAAATACACAGAGACAAATTAGAATTTGTTTAAGTAAAAACACTATATGTATATATATATATAGAGAGAGAGAGAGACAGAGAGAGAGAGAAAGAGAGACAGCAAGAGAAAGAGAGAGGGAAAGAGAGAGAGAGAGTCAGATAAAAGGACAGAGAAGCCAGAAAAACTGGATAAGTTTAGGAATGAAAGATATAACCATAAATTTAGAAGAAAAAAATCATTGAGATTTTGTTTTAAAAGATGCATAAATTCAATTACACGGCAAACAAATACAAATTAAAGGACATTAATTTTTTTCTGGAAAAATGCAATGGCCAAAATTAATCAAAATGTAATTTAGATATTAGTTTTAATGTCATCTTTGTTACAACCTTCATTTTGAAACTACTGATTTCTAAGTCATTGATTTTGGGGGTCGTCTGTTTATTAATAATGTGTTATTGAATTATTTTCAAAGATTGTGATCTGTAATACTCCCTTAGGGAATATAAACAAGTGTTTAAAAAGCTGTGCTTTGAAGCCAGACCTATATCAAATCTCAGCAGCATGTGTTCAAGACATAAGAATGAATGAATTCAGACCACTTCAGACTGAGAAAGCCACCATCTCTGAGGTCATTTTACCTTTTCCCTTTCTATTCAGGTAAATTCATCTAGTTCCCAGAAAACTTATCTTATTCCTAGCAAATTCATTTACATTAATCTTGCATCCATTATCAATAAATACTTTTAAATTATTTGAGTTACTGTTATAAGAAAATTAATGACGATTCAAATTCTCTGCTGCTGACAATATAGAAGGCCACAGAATCAGTGCCAGCTGAACAGGTACTACACATGCGCTACTTTGAAGGGGGTTTTAGACTCTTATTAACCACCCACAAATGGATACATAAAGGAAACATTTCATTAAACATTTCAGTTGTCACTCTACCTGCTGTATCTTTAAAGGGATTCTGAGAAAGCCAGATACACAGAATGTTTCTGTAACTAGGAAGACATTTCATTCATAACATGTACCAGAAAATTGGAAAATAAAGTAGAATTGCCAATACTGCAACACATCAGTTGATAGGTTAAATTGCAGAGAGAAAAATGGAAAAATGTTTAAGAAAGTTGAAGGGCAAACAAACATCTTAGTAGAGAGACAAAATTAAACTGCCTAATGATAACTGCAACAGAAGAAAGTCTGCTTGGATTGGTTTTAACTAACAAAACTCATAAATATTACATATAAATTGCGGGAAATGGAATCTAGTATATGAATGATTTCTAGTTATTTTCTGGCACAAAATTTGAAAACAGAAAGAGAGGAATTATCTTAAAATTAGACTATGTTTGAGAAGAAATTTACAGAAAGATGAAGATGAAGTGGTGCTAGTAAATATGTTACAGCACCTGGCATCATTATTTTTTATTTATAAAATTTAACACCAGAGGCAGAGACAGTTACTCTCTGATGTATACCATATGTGTATATTTGAAATGTGTATGATGCACATATTCCTTATTGTGTTATATTTACATGTGTATTATACACAATTCATGTATTCTATGCAGTCTTATGTAAATGTAGTATATAATATATAAAATACATGAGGTATTGTAAGCAAAAGCACCTAATAAATCAGGTCAAGATTATCAAATATAATCATTTACAAGGTCAATAGAAGCAACATTCAAATTTATGAATAATTAACTCTGAGTTTTCTTCCAGATGAGCTATAGTTACAATGTTTTTAGAATAAAATATGGTTCTAGAAAACTTTGCAGAAAAGCCATCAAATTCATGAAAATCCAAAGGAAAAAAGAGTGGATATATCTTAATAAAATATTGGCAAAACAGTTGATGTATCTGAAAAATTATCAAATGAGAATAGAGAAAATAAATTCATGCCAGCTAATTTCCAGAATAAATTTAGAGTCCAGGTAGGCATGAGATAAATCTTATAATGCTTGGCTAGAGTACAGAAATTATTTAATTACGGAAGATGCTGTAAATCAAGTCAACCTAAAAATGTTGGCAATGACCAAATGTTGGAATAAGCAGCGATACACACCTAAGGAGGCATGATAAAGACATCAATGAGGCAGAGCATGATTTATTTCTCCATTATTAATATTAACCATGGTTATAAATATTTATTTTAGAAAGACATATAAATATTTATTTTAGAAAGACATAAACATTTATTCTGTTCTTACTCATCACATTCTCCCCAATATAAGGAATAAAACTTTAGAAAAATGGTCAGCCTCTTGTTTTGTTTTGAGTGGAATCCATGTTAACAGAAAATAATGATGGTAGAAAAAAATAGCCATCTGAACAATGCAGTGACTGAATTTGTGTGCTAAATGCTATTCCTCGATATTTTTTTTCAACCTCCAAAGAATACGACCACCAAATCTTAGAGCTTTTTAAAAAAAGAATTTGATATTTTTATACCTTTCAAACCTTCCAAGTATGATCTTTTTAAAAATAATGAACATTTATTACAACTAAAAACTTAAAAAATTTTCATACTAAGGTGATGATTATCTTAAAAGTATTAGTCTTTGAACACTGTCAGCATTTTCAATGTTAATAATATTAATAATTATTGGCATTTTGTATCCCATTGATTCTTCCAAAGGCTTTAGTTTTTTAAATGTAGTCATAATTTTTGAGGTAGCTATAATGCTAATTCTAACACTCTTTGTTGTGACATAGAGTTGTCAAAATCTTTACAATGATTATCTCTTACTATCTCCACTTTATAGGAAAAAAAGTGAGGCAGATAGTCTCTTTAATAAATTCAGTAGAATCTGTAAACTCTAAGAAATACTGTGCAGTCTTTTTAAATATTTTATTTCTATTCTATATAGATTGACCTAACTTTTATTCAATTTTCAAAGTTTCCTACAACAAATAAAAACTATTTTAGCAATACATTTAAAGACATCCACATTGTTTTAAATTGGTAATCAATTTTTGGCATGAATGTAAAACTGTCAAACATTGATTAAATCAATGTGTTTATAAATATGTAAGATTATAGCCTTAATGATAATTATAGATGTAGATCTATTTAGAGCAATTCAATATAAATATGGATATCCAAGATACTTGAGATTTATATTAATGGTGATGGTCTTAAACTCCAAATGCAGCATTTTAACTAGAGATAATGTGTGTCTTTTGAGTGCTAGTACCATCAATGTGGCCAAGTAATTCTTTTGCAAAACCTCTTTGTATGTAAAAGGAAATTTGTAAATACTAAAATGTTTCAAAAATCTAGTTCCCAAATTGGTAAAGTCATCTTTGCAGAAAAAAAATGAGACTCGAGAATTCTGTGTCATTGATGTATCCTTACTTTAAGCTATCTAGGCCTGTGAGATACTTTTCTGTTAAGCTATAAAAAAAAGAGGACAGGAAGGGGCCTCCTTGTCAATCTTGGTAGGTATCTCCTCACACACACATACACACACACACACACTAATGGAAATAAAAATTAAGAAATATGTTTAAATAGACATGTGTTTTTAGTATAAGACAAATATGGCTTAGCGTTTTAGCTAGGAGAGGATATATTGCTGTTATTAACCTCCAAATTTCAGTGTTGTATCTCTTGTTCACATTACATGGCTAATATGGACTGGCAAGGTTTTGTTATGCATGCTCACTCGGGTACCTAGGTTGATAACGGCTCTGCCACTGTGGAATTAAAACTTCTGCAACATGTGACAGTTGAGTTGACATGAAGGGAGGAAAATGGGATGAGTGTGGCACATCAGCTTTCAATGACCTCCTATTCAAAAGAGAAACCCACTATAATTGGTAACTGCTCTTCAGACACAAGAACACATATGGTCCCAGCCAAATTGCACAGTAGACAAGAATATATAAGGAATCATTTGGACTATCTGGTGAGTCCTAATTGCCTCTACTAGAAGTGACATTTGAAAGCAATGATGATAGAGGGATAAATAGACTAAATATTGCTGGAATAAAAAGCTAATGACCTGGAAAAAAGTGTTGGATATATAATTCAAACTATACAATATTAATTCCAAATAGATCAAAATTCTAACTATAAACAATGAGACAAAAATGTTAGAGAAAGACAAGGAAGTTTTTTTCTAAATTAGAGAAACTTTTGTTTTAAAACTATGGCACAATCTCAAAGTAGAAATAAAAAGATTGAAAAAATAGACCATATCAACAAAAAATGAGTTCAATTTTTTTGACTGACCCAAAAAATACTCTAAAGTCAAAAGATAAATACCAAAACACAAAAAGTCTTGGCAACTTATATCATGAAAAGAGATGACTCTTGCTAACAAGCTAGAAGATTCTAGTGAATGATAAAAAAGATTAATAATCTAATAGAAAAATATGCAAAGATATGTGCATTGCACCAGAATTATACTTAAAGTATGATACTAAGAGGTCAATTTGATGACATATATTAAACTTATAAATGATCTCCCATACACTGTGAGACATTAACTCTACATATAAGAATATCCCACATGATTATGCAACTTTATGTGAAACAAAACATTTGACATATTTTCACTGAAGTATCACTTATAATTTCAAACAATTGGGAACAACAAAAGTGTTTATCAATAGAGGACTGAATAAAATTCAATGGAAAATTCTGCAGCAGTAAAAATAAAAAAGACTTTATGTTTCAAGTTGGGCATATTTTAAAATATATTTTAATGGAAAACAAGCAAAATATAAATATTGCCTATATATGTAAAATGGGGGAAGGGGATAATTCATAATTGTGTTTTCTTATCAGACATAAGGAAACTCAAGAGAGAGTTTGAGAGGGATGGAAACCAAGAAGATAGAGGACTGTGATTCAAGAAAATATTTTCATTGTTTACATCCTTATGCCTTTTGACTGTTACACTAAATAAATGTAATAAAAAAATCAAACAAAATGTTCAAAAGTGAGATGTGATCTGACCAGATCAAAGTACTGTGTTTTTTGAATTATTTATTCTAAGCAGCATTCTTATGTTTCTGAAATACTGATAGAATTATAATATCCTCCACATAGTCAATCCTTATTTAAATTAAAATCAATTAAAATACCTCTATTTTTCACAATCATTACTTACTAATAAGAAGAACGTATTTCCCATTCAGTTATTGTGCATTTTGTGTCCCAACGTATGTGACTTTAAACTCTTAATGTTTCCTTTTATCCTGGCATATTCAATACTTTTCAAAATGTTTAAAATTGTATCTAAAATATTTCTGTTTTTTTCTCACTATACTTCTTCATTAGCATAGCACCAAAGTACTTTTTCAAGCTACTGATTAAAATAGACAAAATTCCTGTCCTCTATATTTTTAGATCTATGGGACTGTAAGTATGTGTGTGGTCAAAATAAATGAGCATCCCAAGCAAATGGGGCAAGTTCTGCAAAAGAGACATGTGTGGTGCCATATATATGTTAAAGGTGGTCCTCTAGGTAGAGGGTTAGATACTCCCTCACAGAAGAACTGATGCTTGATTTCTTCCAAAGGATGAACAGGAATTTGTCGTAGAAAAATCAAAAATTATAACCCAAAAAAGAGCAAATGAACCCACATAGAGGTATGTTACTTCTATTCAGCCCACACCTGTTTAGTGACTATTAAGAAATACTTTTTCAAAGGTGACTTAGTCAACTGCGGTTTAACCTAACAGTTGTGTCATAGAGCCAGTATGTTTCTTTCTTGGTTTGCTTCATCAAATATCTTCAATTTCACATATGCCAGTGTTTCAAATCTCTTGCAGTCATATAAAAAACAGTCATTCTTATGGCTGTTTATTATTATGGTACCAATTGATAATCACTTATTTTTTAATGATGCAAAATCTATTCAATGTGCTTGATAAACTTCCTCAGGATAGATTGTTTTGTAAAATGTTTTTCACATTTTCTTGGAGTCACAATTTCATTTACTTCATGTTAACTTATGGTACTTCCAGTTTATTAACTTCTTGTCTATTTCTCAAAAGGGTTTTGGATTCACCTACAAATATTTTTAGTATCCCAAGATATAATTTTTAGAGATCAAGAGATTCAGAATCACTGAGAGCAGTTATCTGCTTTTCAAAAATCTCATTTATTTTGAGCCTCAAATTTCTACTTCAAATATTTGTTCTATGTCTAGAGGATATTTCCAAATAAATGTATTACCAACACTTCGAACTCAGCATAACCAAAAATATATTTGTCAGCTTCATGTTTTCTTCTCCAACACAAAGGGAATACCATACTGTCTACCTTTTTGTGGTCATTCATTGTACTATTTTTCTTCTTGTAATATAATGATGATATAATTATATATTTTTATTTGTTATATATTTGTAAGAAAAATCAAAATTTCTAATTATAAAATCAAGCTAAGCAGGTAACTGAAGTCTGAATGTTAATATTTTTTGAGAGTCATTATTGAAACTATTTTACTGGAAAAGCCTAATGGCCAGTGTCAAATATTTCCACGTAGCTGGAAACCAATTATTAAACTTATGTTAAAGGAACTTTTAGGAAATAATGTAAAAGGCAGGAAATAATACTTTCATTCCTCTTAAACACACCTGAGTAATATTGTACTATAGCAGCTTTTGTCAAAAACAATCTGAAAGAAGTGAATTCTAATTTTCCTCCTTAATTCCTTGAGGCGCCATTGCACAGAAGGAGGCAGTGATGACTAGTTAATAGTATGAATGTGTATTTATCTACTTTAATCACAGTATCCCTGTTTTTAGCTGAAAGAAATCTCAGTAATGGCAACCACGGACAAGATTGAATTTTTCAGCCTCTCTTAGAATAGAGAAGACGACGTACGCAAGAGCTGAACAACATTGGCAACTTAAGTTAATCATGATATTCTCAGCGTATACTGTTAACTATGGAAGCTACAACTTCCTTTTCCTATTCCATCCTGCTTCTTAGGACACGTATACGATGACCAGTGTGATAGGAGCCAGATGGAGAAAGAAGACTGTATGAGTCAGCTTTCTCTAAAGGGACAGAACTAATAGGATATATGTATATATGAAGGGGAGTTTATTAGGAGACTTGACTCACACGATTACAAGGTGAATTCCCACAATAGGCCATCTACAAGCTGAGGAGCAAGGAAGCCAGCCCGAATTCCAAAACCTCAAAAAGTAGGGAAGCTGACGGTGCAGCCTTCAGTCTGTGGCCAAAGGCCCGAGAGCCCCTGATAAATCACTGGTTTAAGTACAAGTATCTAAAAGCTGAAGAACTTGGAGTCTTTTGTTGGAGAGCAGGAAGCATCCAGCACGGGAAAAAGATAAAGGCCAGAAGACTCAGCAAGTCTCGTCATTCCACTTTCTTCCGCCTGTTTATTCTAGCCACACTGGCAGCTGATTAGATGGCGCCCACCCAGATTGAGGGTAGGTCAGCCTCTCCCAGTTCACCGACTCAAATATGTTAATTTCCTTTGGCAGCGCCCTCACAGAACACCCAGGGACACTACTTTGCATCCTTCAATCCAATCAAGTTGACATTCAATATTAACCATCACAAAGACTAAGAAAAAACCTTGGAGTGACAGTGCAATGATCTAGAAGGCACCTGCTACCTTGATGACTTTGTGGAGTCATTATTCCAGACTGAGGTGACACTTCCGGTTTTTTTTTTTTTTTTTTTTTTTTTTTTTTTTTTTTTAGACGGAGTCTTGCTCTGTTCCCCAGGCTGGAGTGTAGTGGCACGATCTCGGCTCACTGCAAGCTCCGCCTCCCAGGTTCACGCCATTCTCCTGCCTCAGCCTCCCGAGTAGCCGGGACTACAGGCACCTGCCACCACGCCCGGCTAATCTTTTTTTGCATTTTTTTAGTAGAGACGGGGTTTCACTGTGTTAGCCAGGATGGTCTTCATCTCCTGACCTTGCGATCCACCTGAGTAGGCCTCCCAAAGTGCTGGGATTACAGGCGTGAGCCACCGCGCCCGGACCTGGTTCATTTTTTTTTTAAAGAGAAAAATAAACTTCTGTATTATTTAATTTTGTACTATTTATGGGTGCGGTAAGGTTATATTATATGTGTTAAACCTATCTTGATATGTAACTCATTAAAAAATGCACTTTGGGAAGTTACTGATAAATTGGATTATTGTATATCTGACCTCTTAGTATTTTCAAAACCTATTTTAAGTTAATTAATTACAATGTATTAAGAAATACTGAAAACAAATTCCTCTTCTAATTAAATTAATGTAAGTATAGTTGAATAAGAATGACTTCAATCTTAGTATTAATTTAAAGTGTATCTAAAATTAAAACATTTTCCAGTGTAATATTTTTTAAATTCTTAAAAGCAGAAATGCAAATGAAATATTATTTTTTTCAAACAGCCTCAGAATCCATGAGGTAAAGCCAAATTTATCCAGAATAAAAGAATAAAAATATTCTAATTCAAAGCAGATCAGTAGTCAGTAATCAACTATGCCAAACTCAACAAATAAACATAACCAACACACATATACACAAGCGCACAAACTCACAAAGAAAAATAGAAGGTACTTGTGTTTGTCTTTTGGCAAAAGGTATATTTTAAAGTTAGATAGTTAAGAATCAGAAATTGGTTGCACTTAATTCAAAAATATTGAATAGAAATCAGAGTTACAACTGAAGACTAACAAATTTTAAACATTAAACCTCGAGCAAAATTTACTTCACACACATTTACAAATAAATTATTTGGCAAAGTAAATTATGTTATGGCATTTAGTGTAAGTTTGTTTTATCCTATTAGCTTAAAGATAATTTAATATTGTTTTATCTCTGTGGTGACTATGCGTTCCTAGAGGGAAAATTGTTTAAGAGCATAATATATCTTTTCAACAAATTATTTGGATTTTGCATAAAAGCTGAATTGAATGGAACATTTAATTTCTATATTTCTTATCTTTAATATTGTAAATCAGATCATTTGAATTAAGCTAAAATTTGAGGCTATATAAATATAAAGATGGCTTTGGAACCCTTATATTATATTTAAAAATACTACTGTCTTTCATAAATGGCTCATAAAATTCAGATGATTTTGAAACCATGTGGATCAAAGATATTGTTCTAATGAAATTTTAAACTTTGTTTAATTTTTGATATGTAACATTTTCTGAGATAAACAATATCAGCAATATTACAAGTACGGTGAGGCTAAGTTGTACATATTTTCTGAAATCCCTTTGTAACCTTCTAATCCTTAGAATAATTAGTAGTACTGAGGTAATTAACAGTCTGCACTTACCTAAGAACACTTCTGAGAAAATGATTATATAAAGCTGACAGTTAAATAAAAGTTACACACATAGGTGCAATAACATTAATGTGCCTATATACGTATGTTTTTGTAGATATTCATATGAATAAACTCAATCTATAATTTGGCTCAGAAAAATCAAAGAGCAAAAAAAAGTATAATTTCAGAAAGTTATGATTCTTTAAATAGTTTTCTCATTTATTTTGAAATATGTTTTAAATCTAGATGTCTTTCCTAGTGTCTTCAAAGTTAAATTAGAACAACTTCTCAGGCAATAGGCACTGTGTTCAGGTTGGCTAGGCCTAATTCTTAGCTATCTAGAGGAGAATTTATAAGAAATAAGCCTGCATCTCAGACCATCACCTTGTGTTCTATACTTAGGTATATCATTGTAGAAACTTTTTCATATGGTTCAACACTAAAACAGTAAGATTTTTCTGTATTGTATTTTAGAGTGTTTAATATAATTTGATTAATTTAGCCTATGATTTTAAAACATACTATTCTAATTTAAACATGTTATTTAGCAAATCATAACATTGTAATTTAAATATATTATTTGGATCACTTCTCAGCCTTTTGGCTAAGATCTAGTATAAATATATTATTTGTTTTCACTATAGGTATAGATATATATGCTACTATTGTGAAAGTCTGATAACCCCTGAAGGCAAATAATTAAATTGAAATCTTCTCTTATTGCAACAGAATGCTGATAAAAATAAAATTGAAAACATCTATATTGTATACTTAAGAAACATGTACATTATATTTTCTGTTGCTTTTAGATTTGACAGAAATAGTTGTTCCCCAATTAAAATAAACATTTTATTTCACCTTTAAAAATCTATATTTTTAAATGAATTCTAATTTCATTTTAGTTATAACAACAATCACATTAAATGAGCAAAATATGTAGAAAATCCCTAGATATATAGTTATATTTAAGTACATATATATGCTTAAGAACATTATGAAGTAGTGCTGGAGAGTAACTGTAAAAATATCAAAACGAATACTTGATTTCAAAGTTTATTTTCTTAACCACTATTCTATTAATTTCCCCAAAACAAAGCCACTTCACGATTCCAAATTTCAAATAATTACTATGGCTAAGATTATAATTACTAATATCCTTTTCTGCTAAGAGGAATTGCAGGTTTATTTGATGCATGTCTGTTTCTATAGCTGGCTTAGGAAAGGTACATAGTGGTTATATGACATATGGCTTTTTTTTTCCAGGAAAAAAATAAGATTTTTTAAATTTTATACAATTTATTAACAGGGCATGACAGTCATCTTAAATGTGCTCCCACTGGCCAAATTATGATAGTTTGCATAGAAAGACGTAAGAACTCACTATTTGTAAAACCAAAACTGGCCCCTTAGTAAAGTTTAAAATACAAATTATTTCTTTTTTGTATCACATATATAATATTAATTTTGTGAAAGAACAATGTTCAGGTGTACATTTTATTTATGTCAAATAGGCAAATGCAAACTTTTGCATATTTTTTGTTATATTTTCTATCAACAGGAACCTTACAATTTTTCAGACTCACAACGTCTTGCCCATGAACACATTACTAAAGTCAAGGATAAATTTCATACTAAGTTGCAATGTTACTAAAATGTTATAATTCATAAATATTTTGTGTTAAGAACCCTATTAAAGCATACAACAAACTCTACAGAATAGCCTTTTAAGCACCCGCAAAACAGTGCCAAGATTTGGATCCAAGAAGGGAAATCACTTAAATTGAGGCACAGGGACCACAGTAATATTTCCCTACTCAACTCTATAGTAAAATGCCATAGCTAAGTTCTGTATTACTCTTCCTGCATTCCAAAAAAAAATCTGAACAGCAGCCCTTGAATACCAGATATTCCCTCTGACAGTCTACCCAAATGAGAGGTAAACAGAAAAACAATTCAACTTCTGATGGTAGTTGGACTTCAGATGGTAGACTTCTGTTGGGAGCTAACAGTTAGTTCCTTGAAATCAGCTAAGTGTTTGACACATATCAGAAAGAGATACACGGATTTCAAGGAGCTTGTGCACCATCAGAAGTGGCAAACACTTAGCTGATTATGATATTCTTTCATGGTAAAGGCTTAGCATATGCAATATCATGCATAAAGCTAAAAATTTTAAAGTACAGTCATCTTCCTAGGAAACTCTTATTTTTTTTTTTTTTTTTTTTTTTTTTTTGAGACGGAGTCTCGCTCTGTCGCCCAGGCTGGAGTGCAGTGGCGGGATCTCGGCTCACTGCAAGCTCCGCCTCCCGGGTTCACGCCATTCTCCCGCCTCAGCCTCCCAAGTAGCTGGGACTACAGGCGCCCGCCACTACGCCCGGCTAATTTTTTGTATTTTTAGTAGAGACGGGGTTTCACCGTTTTAGCTGGGATGGTCTCGATCTCCTGACCTCGTGATCCGCCCGCCTCGGCCTCCCAAAGTGCTGGGATTACAGGCGTGAGCCACCGCGCCCAGCCAGAAACTCTTATTTTTTAAATACCTTTTAAGTCCAAGATATCTATTGCTAGACATATTCAGTTACACAACTTTCCTCAAAAGTCTTAAAAGATATAACAAAATTGAGAGGCTGCAATGGACAAATATATTCATTATTCTTGCCTATTCTCTGCTTTTTTTCAGCATGAAAGTTAATAAACACAAATCTTTCCTTAATATGTAATTTGTAGCAATGGTGCTGTCAAAATATTTCTTCAACTGTGCCATTAGAAAGAAATAATACTTATTTTAGTAATGTGTTAGACAAGGAAACTTCAATATGAATTTAAAACAGAATTGAAAAAGTTTCAAAAAACAATGACTCACATAGGTTCAAGTTAAAGGCTGGAGTAATGCAAAAAGAAGCACTGAATAATAAATGGGGAGTAAAAAGATACATGTTTCATGTTCTTCGTTAAAACCTAATTAAGAAAGTTTACTATCAAATTGAGTTTTCAGATAAGAATTAAAAAAAATAGAACTCTTTTGTACAGGTCTTGAAAGACAACTCAGCTAACTATGGATTAGAGCACTAAATTATCAAATATTTACATAACCAATATCCTAATTTTACATTAACTGTGTACTTTCTCTAATATTTCATCATAAATTTGAATTCCCATATAAGTCTACTTGTTAGGAAGGACAATGGACATTCCTAAAATACTGAAAAATTTATTTGAGTATTTCCAAAGGTTATTGACATGTATACTTGAAAGGAAGATTAAACAAAAACTTGTTGACAAAGCAGATCATTTATTAAAGGAAGATGCTTTTATTGACTTAAAATTTTAATGTATGTTTATCACAGGGGATTAATTTTACCAACAACTTTAATAAATATTAGCTACATGATATCATTTCTTTTGCTCTAATTTAGTAAATCTATATAAAAACGAAGAGAAATCCACAGACCTTTTGAAGGAACTGGATCACCACTGCAGGCTCCTCAAGACACCAAAAAACTGTGAGTTCTCTTGGTCTCTCAACAGGGAGGGTTGTGGTCTTGGGCAAGTTCTCAGTCCTGGTCACCAGCTGCCTGGAAATTGACTGGGTACTGTTTAGGGGGCACAGTGGGAGTGAGACCTGCCTTTAGGACTGCCAGCTGTATGGGAGTGGGGTGAGGCCAATGACTGCTGGCTTTCCCCCACTTCCCAGGCAAACCGTATGACTCAGCAGAGGTAGCCATAATCCCCCTTGGAATATAATTCCATTGGATTGGGAACCACACCCCCATTCCCCACAGCAGCCACAGCAACCCAGACCCAAGGAATAGCTGAGCTCAGACACACCTATCCTTGCCCCTACCTGGTGGTCTTTCTCTACACACCTTGGTAGCCAAAGACAAAGGTCATAATATCTTAGGAGCTCTATGGCCCTGCCAACCATCTGAGAATCCTAAATACTTAACCAGGTGTCCCTAGGGCAAGTTTCCATCCTCCCAATAGGACCATAGCTGATGCACTCTTCTTGAAAGTGTCACCTTCTGGCTGGAGGCCAACCAATACAAAATCAGCACACTAAACAGAAACACAACCAAGACCCTCAGAGAGTCTACTTCATTCCCCTGCTACAGATGGATCACATCACAGGACTGTTTGTAGACACTCCCCAGTAGTGGAGTACTGGTAGCTTCACTGGGTGGCTAGTCCCAGAAGAACAAAAACAATTACTACAGTTCAGGTCTCAGGAAGCCCCATTTCTAGGGGAAGTGGGAGAACACCACATCAAGGGAGCACCCCATGGGAAAAAAGAATCTGAACAGCAGCCCTTGAATACCAGATATTCCCTCTGACATAGTCTACCCAAATGAGAGGCAAACAGAAAAACAATTCTGGTAATATGACAAAACAAGGTTCTTCAACACCCCCAAAAGATCATACCGGTTTGCCAGCAATGGGTCTAAGTCAAGAAGAAATCTCTGAATTGCCAAAAAAAGAATTCAGGTAGATTATTCAGCTAATCAAGGAGGCACCAGGGAAAGGTGAAGCTCAACTTAAATAAATTAAAAACATAATTCAGAATAAGAAAGAAAAGTTCTTCAGTGAAATACAGCATAAATTTTTTAAAAATAGCAACTTCTGGAAATTAAGGACACAGAGAAATGCAAAATGCACTTGAAAATCTAGACAATAGAATCAAGCAAGGAGAAGAAAAAAATTCAGAGCTTGAAGACAAGGTTTTCAGATTAATCCTATCCATCAAAGACAAAGAAAAAGTAATTTTAAAAATGAACAAAGCCTCCAAGAAATTTGGGACTATGTTAAGCATCCAAACCTAAGAATAATTGGTGTTCCAGAGGAAGAAGAAAAACCTAAGAGTTTGGAAAATATATTTGAGGGAATAATTGATGAAAACTTTCCCAGCCTTGCTAAAGATCTGGACATTCAAATACAAGAAGCTTAAAGAACACCTGGGAAATTCATCATAAAAGATCATCACCTAGGTACATACTCATCAGGTCATCTAAAGTCAAGATGAAGGAAAGAATCTTAAGAGCTGGGAGGCAAAAGCATCAGATAACCTATAAAGGAAAACCTATCAGATTAACTGCAGATTTCTCAGCAAAAACACTACAAGCTATAAGGGATTTGGGTTCTATTTTTAGCCTCCTTAAACAAAACAATTATCAACCATGAATTTTGTATACAGACAAACAAATGCTGAGAGAATTCACCACTACCAAGCTAGCACTTACAAGAACTGCTAAAAGGAGCTCTGAATCTTGAAACAAATCTTTGAAATACACCAAAATAGAATCTCCTTAAAGTCTCACAAGACATCTATAACAATAACACAATGAAAAAAATAAAAACAAAAAAAACCAAGGTATTCATGTAACAAATAGCACAATGAATAGAATAGCACCTCACATCTCAATACTAACATTGAATGTAAATGGCCTAAATCCTCCAGTTAAAAGATACAAAATGGCAGAATGGATAAGAATTTGCCAATCAAGTGTCTGCTGTCTTTGGGAGGCTCACGTAATGCATAAGGACTCACATAAACATAAGGTAAAGGAGTGGAAAAGATATTCCATGCAAATGGACACCAAAAGTGAGCAGGAGTAGGTATTCTTATATCAGACAAACCAAACTTTAAAACAACAGCAGCTAAAAAAGACAAACAGGGACATTATATAATTATCATTATGTAAAAAGATTAGTCCAACAGGAAAATATCACATTTCTAAATATATATGCACCTAACACTGGAGCTTCCAAATTTATGAAACAATTACTACTAGAATTAAGAAATGAGATAGAGAGCAACACAGTAATAGTTGGGGACTTTAATACTCCACTGAGAGCACTAGACAGGTCTTCAAGACAGAAAGTCAACAAAGAAACAATTGAGTACTGTCTCAGATGACAGTGGAATAAAATTGGAAATCAACTCCAAAAGGCACACTCAAAACCATGCAAATACATGGGAATTAAATAACCTGCTCCTGAATGATTTTGGGGTCAACAATGAAATCAAGATAGAAATTTAAAGATGCTTTGAACTGAACAATAATAGTGACACAGCCTATCAAAATTTCTGGAATACGGTAAAAGTGGTGCTAAGAGGAAAGTTTATGGCATTAAATGCCTGCATCAAAAAGTCTGAAAGAGCACAATAGACAATCTAAGGTCACACCTCACAGACGTGGAGAAACAAGAACAATCCAAACTAAAACCCAGCAGAAGAAAACAAATGACAGGATCAGAGCAGAACTAAATGAAATTGAAACAAAAAACAGTAGTAAATCTCTATAAAAAGAAAGAGCTCTGCTCTCTCGTTTTATTAAATACAGTTCTACATCTACAATATTTATCATTTTAAACAAAAGTGGTTACCTAATGATATTAAAATTCAAAAACTCAATATTTTTGTGAGAGTACTGTGAGGACAATCTAGTTATTTATTCATACACCTAATATTCATAAATCATAATATTTCAGGCACTGTTTAAAGTGCTTGGTGAGGTGACATAACATGGAATTGTTGAATTATATTCACATCGTATAAGCTCAGCCAGTTTCAATGTTTATTAACAATTTCAAGAATGTAGACAACTAAAAGTGTCTCATGAAGCAGAGACAGACCTCTGAGACCTGTCTAGGGTCTCCTAGGGTCTCTAGCATTCTCCAGATCCTTTTCTTGCATAGGGCATACATATCTGGCTCAGATTAATAAATCAGTTTTTTATGTGAGGTTTATGTAATTATTCACATTGCAGTGAGCATTTAAATGATGAGAAATATCAATTTATACCTCAAATCCTGTTTCATTTTCATAACATTCTTCAAAGAATCATGTCTCATAGGATTTTATATTGATTTGATGTAAGGAATCCTGCAACCAAGGCATCCTAGAAAAAGTATTTAATAGATAATTTCTTGCTTATAGCAAATATCATTAGTCTATTTATCTAAAATTTCAATTAAAAGGAGCTCACTTTCTCTGGAAAATAAAGGAAATGAATGGATCACAGACTAGCTACTTTAACTCTGTCCTCCTATAAAAATACAGCAATTAAAAAATAAGATTTAAATTATCCTCTATCTACTGAGAAAAGACAGAAAATTTAAAAATGAAATAAATGGGTAGTTGTCAAATCAATAAAACTTGTTGTTTTTTTTTAAATAAACCTGAGAACATAAATTGGGTGTGCCAGGTAGAGTTTGGGATTACAGTTTTAAAGAGAGTAGTCAGGAAAAGCCTAACTGTAAAGGAAACATTTGAAGAAAATCCAAGGAAGTGCAGGAAGGAGCCATGAAGTTATCTGACAGAAAAGTATTCCACACAGAGGGATCAGCAAGTACACACACTGTGAGTTAGGAGCATACCTGGCTTTTCTGTGGTGCAGAGAAAATACCAAGTGGCCTGCATGGAGAGAACAAGGGTGAGAAAAGCAAAATATAAGATCAGAGGGAAAAAGAGAAATATTATATGGGGTCTTGTAGAGTACTATAAATTTTTGCTTTTGTGGTTTGATTGCTGTTGGTGTGTTGGCTAAGTTTTATTATTTTTAAAAATTCTCTTTGTTTTTTTTCTCATGGTCTTCTATTTTCTTCAGTTCACATCAAACCCCTCATTTCCCCAGTCTGTAGTTTGCTTAGGCCTTACTTCTGCATGTGAATCCTTCCACAAATTATACCAAAAGTATCATGGGAGATAATTTTCTTCCTCTTTGGCTTGAAAGTTGTTGGCATTTGCATAGATAATTTATAAAGTTCATCTGATGCCAGGTGTGTCCTCCTCGGAACCCGATCCAATGAGGTTTCCATATCTCCACTTCAATCTGTGGTATTCTGCAACAGATTTCTTCAGCAGTAACTCATAGCTTCGAAAATAAATCTTCCCTTACTGAGTGGTGAAGTGTAAAACATACTCTGATCCAGTTGGGAGGCTATTTGATACTCCTGGGCTGCTGAAGAAATCAGTAAGAAGACTCTTTAGCCTTATAGTCTTCTTTTACAACAAAATCCTCACCAGCAAATATTATCATGGGTTTTGTTTTCTCAGGGCATTTACTGTTCTTAATGTCTATTAATGAGACAAATTTCTCAAAGCCTAATTCTATCATATCTAGCAAAAGATAGCCATACATGTGATCTCTTATTAGATTATTTGTTCATTTCTTATTATGGGAGCCGTATGTGAATAAGGAACAATCTGACTTCTTTGAAGAATTCCAGTGATATCTGATTCTAGAACAGTCTTATAATATTTTTCTTTTTGTACAAAAAGCCACATAGATTTTTCAAAGCATACACATCTCTAAGTACTTGTGTCACTGTTGCAGTTGCATTCTCCTCTTTAATCAACATGGCATTTTTAATATTTTCACTGAATTTCAGTTCTCTCTTCTCAAGGAATTTCTTTGTTCTTATTACTTTAGGCTTTACAACTTAATCCATGGCTACTGCAACCCACAACCCAAACCACGTAAAATGCCAAGTGTTTTTTGTTTGTTTGCTTGTTTTTAATGTTCAATGAGATTTAAAAAAAAGCAAACAAGAGAAGTGACATGATACCTCTTACCCATTATAAGTGTCAGTGTCATTCTAGATCTTGTATTGAGAGTAAACTGTGCATTTCTGGAAGGGAAAGTAAGAATGGAAGCAGGGAGACCAATTATAAAGGTATAGCAATATTTCTAAATAAGATCAGATGGAGTCTTGGACAAGAGTATTAGAGGTTGATGTGGTAGTATGTTTTGAAGACAAGACAGAACAGAATTTTCATGTGCATTGCCCTCAGGGTCTGAGAGAAAGGAGAAACTCACAGATACAATCAAGGATTCTTACCAGATCAACATGGAGAAAGGCGGAGACTACAGACGGAGTAGTTTGGAGGGTTGAGAGTACAACAATTTGGGGACATGTTAATTTGGAGATGTCTATTAGAAATTCTAAACTAGATGCCACATAAACAAACATTCAAATTAAGATTCCAGGGAAAAGAGCATGGCTGGGGATAAAAATTTTGGAATTTTCAGTGACACTTAAAGTCATGACTCTTTATGAGATCATCAAGGAAGTGACAGGAGACTGAAGAGAAAAGAACCAAGAGGTCAATTTTCCACTGAGAGACATGGAGGTAGAAGAGGAGCCAGCCAAGTTGACCAAGAAAAAGCAAATTGCAAAGTAGGAAGGAATCTAGGAGACCATAATGTTTTGGAATCCAAATCAAGGATGTGTTTTAAGGAGGAGGCAGTGGTCACTGTTAAAGCTTTAGAGGACTCAGAAGAGAAATAAAAATTAAACACTGAATTTACCATCGAATTGTTGCTGTTGATAAAATATGTTGTGGTAGAGACACTGAGACAAAATGTTTTATATTTTTCTTTAAGCACAATATATAAATTTGATAAATGTCTTTTTTACAATGGATATTGTTTGGAACTTATGCTTTTGTTTTGACATACATATGTATTAATTATTTATTCTTTGAGACCTATTATACATAAGAGCCTCTCAGCTTTTGTAGAGAAATCAACCCATGAGATTGACAAAGTCCCTGAATTTATGGAGTTTACATTGTATTGGATATAATTAAACCAGTATGTGCCAATATTAAATATTTATTCATAAATATAACTGCCATGAAAAGATAAAATATAATGACGGGATATAGTATGAGTTGGGTAAGTGACTGATTTTGTGTGTTTTTCAGACAGGCTTTTCTGAAACTATGAAATTTGTGTTGAGTTACGCAGTATGAGAAAGAAACAGCCTTATAAAAAGCTGTTGTATGGGGAGAGCATTCCAGTAAGAGTAAAGAGTTGCAAAGCCTCTGAAATAAAAACCGTCATAATAAAAATAGCCTATATTTACTCAGCACAAACTGTGAGCCAGACACTAAATATTTTAAATGTATTATTTGATTTAATCCTTGCAAGAAGTCTACAAAGTAGATAGCATTACTATCTTTAAAGATTATAAATGTGTTGCTAAGGAAATGCAGCTATGAAGCAATGAAACTCATATTCATAATTTGCATGCTTATAGGCATTATGTTATATTATTTCAAATATGTTTTGTTCAAGAAACAAATAAACTATAGAGTGAAGGATCCAGGGCCCAGATTATATACAGGACTTCAATGAATGATGTAAGTTTGGTTTTTTATTATAATAATAGTCAGACATCATTTTAATTATTATAGCTATGGAATGATATGACATACTTGTTTGCTTTTAAAGATCACTCCAACTGTTGTGTAGATAATAAAGCATAGAAAGTCAAGTTCTTGAAATTACTGAATTAAATTTCTCCCATGGATGGGTAACAGTATACTCTCTGGGCAATGGTTTCTAAATGAGTGTATTTTCAATTTTATAATTATTAAAAGTACATTATTAAATTACATTTATTTCTGCTTGGATTCATATATGATATACCACAATAAACATATATTCTAAGATTGGTAAAACATAAACCAATTATTAACTCCCATAAAATATTTTCTGTAGAAGTTATTTTGTAGACATATTAATATGATTTAAATTAAATTTCACAAAAATGCACATGCTTAAGCAGAATATACACACTATGTAGTAGAAATTTAAGAAAAATTTGCTCCAAAGTTGTTTAACAAATATAAAATCTTTACTATTCTGAGGGTTAGTCCTCAGGTCTAGTTATTAGTTTTCTGAAATTATCATGACTTTCCTGATTCTTTATCAGACATACAACAAATCTCATTCCAGTCTGTCAATCCAACTGTTCTTGTTGTGAAGATACTACTTTTTCTGTTGAAAAGAATTTTTTAAAAACCCTTGGGTATTGAATAAATTTGGGATTAGAATAATTTCCTTTTAAAAGATATGATAGTGAATATGAACATAAGAGAATGCAACATTTCTTTTTAAACTCTGTTTAAATTTCAGAACTGCAAATTATAAGGTAAATTAAAATACTTAGATATTTAAAATATTAACTGCAAAATATCGTGGATAAGAAGTAAACTAAATCTTCAAGTTATTATCAAAACGTTAGTATGCATAAAACTGAATGCATGTAACTATAATAACTTTCAATCTTTTATTTGAAGGAAGGAAATATCAGTGTGGGTGGTGTATTTTTCTCCTGCATTGTAGAAATCTATGATGCAAATTTAATCCAAACTAAACCTTCATAGTGCATAGCTGATGTCCAAGGGAGGACCATAACAACTATCAAAGCATAGCAACACTCTATCCCTGCCAAGAGGCTCATTTTTTGGGGGGTCAGACTGAAACAACATATGGAACATCCTGGGATGTTTTTGAAAAGAATACAGTCATTTGTTGGCAATTAATTAATAGAGGCAAAAATCTGAGTGTAATACTAATAGAGACAGACCAGCCAAAAGCTTAATGGGGACATCAGGAAATAAGCAGTCCAACAGAACCAGCTAAAACCATTGTTATCTCTGAAGCTCAGGAAGATTATGTACATGGCCCAGGTTGCACCCACTGTGGCACTATCAGGCAGGGAACATTTAAGATTTAAATAACTGGAAAGTACCAATATTCATTGATTGGAGGGCGTAACGTTGTTAATATACAGATTCAATCCCTGTAAAAACTTTCTCTTTTTTCTTCTTCTTCTTTACTTTTTTTTTTTTCTGCAGAACTTAACAAGCTGACTCTTAAATTCATTTTGAAATGCAATGGTCCCAGATTCAAAATAATCTTAAAAATAATTACAAGTTGAAGGGCTCACAATTACTAATTTAGCAAGGAAACAGAGAAATTCGAACACTTAGACACTGGTGTTGGGATTATAACATGGAGCAGCCACTTTGGAAAAGAGATGACAGTTACTGACAAACGCAGAGTTATCACATACATGAGACATATCTATTAATACAGATTTATTTACAGTGGCCCAAGAGTAAAATTAACCAAAATGCCCTTCAATTGAAGAATGGATAAGGAAAATGCAGTATAACTATACAACAAATTATTTTTGACGTTAAAATGGATTGAAGTACTGGTGCTACAATATGGGCCAATATTAAAGCTCTATTGCAAAGAAGTCAAGTGTAAAACACCACATATTATATTATTTTATTCACATAAAATATTCAGTATAGGCAAATCAGTAAGTATAGAATGTAGATTAGTGGTTGCCTAAGGCTGGGGGTAGGAAATAGAGAGTGACTGTTAGTGGCTATAGGATCTCTTTAAGAGTGATGAAAATGTACTAAGATTATTGTGACATTTGCAAAACTCTGCAAATATGCAAATACTATTAAATTGTGCACTTGAAAATTGGCAAATATATGGTATATAAATTATATCTCAATAAAAATATTTAAAATTAAATTACAGTGTGTATGAAACCATCCATTGATTAACATCAGAGATAATTATTACATCAACTTCTTACCCTGATAACTGATAAGAAAACACTATAAATATTTTTAAAGTCTTATTTTATTTCTTGTCTCATACACTTTCATCTCTGACCTTCAAGTGTTTACCACCAGTATCCTCAAGTCTTTTTTAACATTCACCAACCATTTGGTTTCAAAGACGAAGCCACATTTTGTATGTTTCTGTTACATCAGATCCCTACTTCCAAGTATTGCATTTCTGTTCCACTTAGGTATTGGTGTACCTAAAAATTACCTAAAAATTTAGTGACTTGAAACAAAACATTTATTTTATTAACTCTCGTTGTTTTTCTGGATCCAGGATTCAAAAAATGTTCACTTTTGTGGTTCCGTCCTTAGGTGCTTATGTAGATTCAGTCAAACAATGGCTGAGGCTGGCATATTGCTGGGGTTTGGATGCTGGATGCGCAAGTGGTTAGCCCAATGTCTCTTTTCTCCATGGAATGCTAATTTAGTGTTTCTAACAGCAGGGTGATATAATAGCCACTAGTATGTTTACATGACACATGAAGCCTTCAAAACTTGAGTATCCCAGTATTTCAGCTGAAAAGACAAAATCTGCATCATTTTTCATGATCCATGACTGAAAGTTATAGAGCATGCCTTCTGATACATTCTGTTGGTCACGAATTATTATTAAAACCCATTCAAATTTAAGGGGATGAGGATTATACAATATTTCATGATGAAGAGTAACAGGATACTAGAAATAAAAACATGTTCGAGGAGAGATAATGTTGCAGTCATCTTGGGAAAATGCAGTCTGCCAAAGTATTATATTGAAAATTAAAGAAATGTATGTTCAAAGATACGCTAAATGTTGGCAAGAATAGTGTTATTTTGTGAAGCAATTCAAAGCACACAAATTGTTGAATGTGAGAAAGATAATTTGAAATATAGCATTATATGTATACATGCTATAAAAATCACAGAAGTTTGATATTGGTATTGAAATGAATAGATAGAGGGAATAAACAGAAATTATAAAAATTTGAAGAAATAGATAGTAGTATGTAGTGTCAGTAACTACTGACGTGAATTTAGCATTATATAATAAATATGATTTTGTAATTCATATTATACACAGCCACATACAAACACACAAATAGACACACACAAATATATGTCAGTCTTGGAATGATTGGTTTTCAATATAACATGTTGGTACAAATGTCATACAACCTACTGAAAATGATAAAATTAAGCTTGACCATCTCTTCTACACAGAAATAAGTTAACAAGGCTTAAGCATTACATATAAGCCATATAGCCATGAAGACACTAAAACGAGAAAGATAAACATTTATAAAAATATAAGTTTATGCTCAAAAATATAGAGTAAAAACAAAATAACCAAACAAGGATAATAATTTTATTTTAAAAAGTTTTAAAAAGTCTAAATGTTTTGTATTTTAAAATAA
The DNA here is from genome assembly GCF_000001405.40 of Homo sapiens. Taxonomy (NCBI): domain Eukaryota; kingdom Metazoa; phylum Chordata; class Mammalia; order Primates; family Hominidae; genus Homo; species Homo sapiens. The sequence goes on along the minus strand of NC_000004.12, from coordinate 115,623,420 downwards.
TTCCAAATCAACTTTTAAAAACCAGAAATCCCAAATAATTTGAGCAATTCTATCAAGTAGTATTATATCCACAGAAGTTAGTCATTATTTTCCCTATTATTTGCCCAAAATATCTGGTCTTTCTCACAAACATTCAACTTTTCAGTATTCTCAATTTTGTTTTATTTTAAATGATATATCACTGCACCCTTGCCCAGCTTTGTAAGTGTTGGGTGAAGAAACATCTTTCTAAAGTCAAAATTTCAGGCTATAACAATTCATACAATATTTTGGAACATTTAGACCATTTACATTTGATGTGATTATTGACATCACAGATTAAATAGCTATTACTAGTAGCTTCTCTGACTTGACAAATAAGTTGCTTCAAAAAGAAGATTAAAATATTATTATATTTCTATACAATGTTTAAAATCAGGTATTCAAAAAAGATAAGAACTATTTACTTTCAAAAAATATAAATTCAAACTGACAAAAATTTTAAACCTTGACCAATAATTAAGTTTTAAAGTTACACACACACACACACACACACACACACACACACATATATATGGAGAAAGAAAGAGAGAAGGAGAGGGAGAGAGTGTTAAGTGTTAAGTATATATATATATATATGCTTAATTATGTAAGGATATCAGAGAGTGCCAATGAATGTCAATAGAATGCACATAAACTTTTCCACATTGTTGATTAAGGTTTTGTTAGTCATCAAGATACATAATTTACCATTTTCATTGGCATTAAAATGCTTCAACTTGACATCCTGTCACTCATGATGATGAAAAGAAAAAATGCAACTACACTGGCAATCAACTAATGAGCAATAAAATGTAAAGACCATTTAAGAAAAAAATAAATATTCATAGCTTATTTAAATAGAAGACAAACATAGGGAGAGGCACCAAGCCCTGTATACAAAATTTCAAGTGTTTAAGTAAACTACATGTTAAAATACATGTATATATATGCATGTATGTATGTGTGTGTATATACGTACATACATACACCTATATACATTGTGTGTATCTGTTATTAGCAGGAGGTGATATTTCAGAGGAATAGTATAATATAAAATTTATTAGTTATTACTGTCTTTTTAAATGCTTTATACATATTAAATATTTTAAATCTCATGATTACTCTATGCAAATCATATTTTATTCCTATTTCTATTTAGTTGCTGAAACACAAAAAATGTTAAGTAATCTACTTAACACAGTATGTAGGGAGCAGAACCACTATTCCAAGCCAACTAGTCTGGTTCCACAGACCATGCCCTTAGTCAGCATGCTGTACAAGTTTTCTACATGTTCCATGAGGTTGTACACAGAGGAGAGGAGAAAGATAGGAAACAGTCTTAGAGAGGACACCATGTGTAACAGATAGTCTCAAAACACAGGTTCAAACCAAGAACCTCTGATAAGCAAGTTAAAGTTTTAATCCACATAACAGACAAGAGGAAACTAAAACAGGAGTCCATGGGGTCTGAATTCCAGATTTTATTCATTAGATGTAACGGTAGAGCAGAATGAGGGAGGATAAATAGCAAGACCCACGTTTTAGTTTCTATGTAAAGATTACATTTGTGTGAAAAGATGAGAAAGTAAACAAATATGTGCACATGTCTAATGGAAAGAAAACATGGCTCCGGGAAAAAAAAGGACTCCATAGGTACTGACAACTTCTGATATCAATGAATGAATAAACTTTGCACCTTCAATAGTATTATGTGGTGCCTGGAAATAAAAAAAGGAAAGAACCTTAAGGAAAAAAGAAAAAGAAAGGATGAAAGGATGGAGGGAAGGAAGGGAGCTCCACAAATTTTTGTTACATTAGATACCACTTATCAATCCCAGTGCACAGTTCAGGCTAGCTAGCTACTGACACCCCGTCTTTCCAAAAGGTTAGTCTCTTTCCTCAGTACATTTTACTTGTCTGTCACTTTTTACATGATGTTGCTTTTACCAAAAGCTTCTTTCTTCAACACCAAATGCAAACAGTATATGTACTTCAATGCCAAGTCTATTCCACTCCCACATAAAACCTTTAACCTCAGGCCACATAGGTCTGGTATACGGTTGTTTCTTCACCACCATAGTAAGTATGAGTTGAGTGCCTTTCATGGCCCAGGCAGTGTGACGGGGTTGGAAAGTAAGTAGAGCTCAAATGTATTTAACACACTCATGATTCAGATTGAAAAATAATTAAGGAAATCAGTTAAACTTCAGTGCATTTTAGAGATGCACTGAATACAAAAGGAAGCATGTCAGAAAGTTCTCTAATAAATCAAGATAGATCCACAGAAAGCTCTCCAAAATCAACAGTGTCAGAACTGACAAATATTAAATGCATGAATATACAGAAGTAAGAAATTGCACTATTCAGTTTGTAGATTTTATATAAGAATTGCATATAAGACTGTACATAAGTAAAAAATTAATATGACAAGAGTAAATGAGACAAAGTTTTGTTCACTAAGCTGTTTTGGGAATGCACTCAGGGATTTTGAGCAGTGGAGTGTGCTGACCAAATTTGCTTTTTAGAAAGGTCATTTGAGAAGTAGTGTAGAAAATAGATTACAAAGTAGGTAGAAAAAAAGTTTGAGGCTTTTCCTGATGAATCCCATGAGAAGTGGTGAGCTGGGCTATGAGAGTAGAAAGGGAGAAAAGGATTTATGAGATAATGAGTGTCAAAACCTGTAGCATTTATTGACATGATAGAGTGTGTAAATGCAGAGATGCGGCGACTCCAAGATTCTAACTTAAGAATATGAATGAATTAGTCACTCAGATAGAGCGTTCGAAAAATGTATTTTCATAGGAAGTGACAAAGAGTCTGGTTTGTGGCAAAATGAGTTTGAGATATTGATGGGACATCCAAAATGCTTGAGAGAAGGCACTTGATATGTTTTGTTGACTACTGTGTTCCCAGACCCAAAAACTGTGCCTGTCATACAATAGTAACTTAGTAAAAAATTACTGAAGAAATAAATGTTGAATGAAATACTTTTCAATAGATATTTTTGCTAAAGACATTTGGTTCATCAGATGAAGCTTGGAAAATAGATGTGGTTGACCAACAATTGGTTACCTCGTAGGAGAGGTATAGGACAAGGACAGAGCCTTGAGAATAATATTATAAGATGAAGCGGCAAAAACTAAAGAAAAGGAAGGTCCCAGGAGGTAGGGGAAAATCCAGGAGAATGTAGTGTTCAAGGAGATGAGGGGAAAAAAAAAACAACAGAAAAGGAACTTTCATGAACAGCAAAAATTTTAGAATAATTAGTTAATATTAGTTAAAGGAAGAAAAGGTGGCCTTTCTGTTTGCTAATACAGAAGAAATTTAAGAATTCAAAAGGAGCAGGTTTAGGAGCTTTAGCAAGTTTGTTTGTATTGCAAAATAAAACATAACATTATGTGATGTATGCTACTTAAAAATATATATGTCTTAATTTTAAAAGATGATGCTCTAAGCTCCAGTAGGGCAGAGACAGTGTTCAATTTGGATTTGTATATATGTGTATACGTGTGTATGTGTGTGTGTTTGTGTGGTAACAGAAGGGGCTTTGGAGTTAGAAAAACCTCAGTCAAATTTCAATCTCTATGGCTTTCCAGCTGAGTAAACTTGGGTAGCTCTGAGCTTTCCTACTTAGGAAAATTGGCAAAATAATACAAACTCCTAGAGAAATATTAAGCAGTAAATAAATAACAAGTATAAATCACCCAGAACAGTGTTTTAAACTTAGTAGATGCTGAATAAAGGGCAGCTGTTTTTATTTCTAGTGTTTAGAACCTTCTTTGTTTTGTACATTCACTGAGAATAAAATCCAAATATGAATCTATTCTTTCACATATTTTGATTACCTTATTTAATATTCTCAGAAGAGGAAGAGGAGAAAAATAAGATGCAGGACTGTGTATTATGAATCCTTTAAAATATAGTGCTGTCTGGGATTGTTAGCTGCAGCCTTACCTGAAACATGAGTAAAGAGCTCATTACTGAAAAGAACGTGAGCCTTCTGATAGGCAATTTTGAACATATTCAGAGTACAAGATTCAACGATACTTGAGCAGATAAAAGTTCCTTCTCCTCTATTCTTTCTCTTTCCTCCATGAATTTATCTTATTTCTCACCTGAATCTTTCCTCAATCTTCCAGAGCTAACTGCCTCATCTTCTTACCTCTTGTGGTCAGAGTCTAAGATATCATTTTCTTTCCCTTTCTCAGGGAAGCATGATCGTGATGGTGGATCATGGCATTCCTCCATATAGAAAAGCTTGGATATTCCCATTTCTTCAGAATGAATTTCCCGTAAGGCAAGTACACAATTATTTTGTTCATATATACCTTGCAAGGATTACTATATTAAAGTTCTTACCTTAACAGGGTTAGATGACCATTAACACCAGAGGAAAACAAAAATTATCATTCTGTCACACCAAAAAATGAAAACAAAATTTTTTGAGGGTCACAAAAATGATGACTTTAAAATATATCTGCTACAGTTTGGATATTCGTCCCCTCCAAAACTCATGTTAAAATGTGATCTCCCAGGCTGACCAACATGTAGAAACCCTGTGTCTACTAAAAATACAAAATTAGCTGGGTATGGTGGCGCATGCCTGTAATCTCAGCTACTTGGGAGGCCGAGTCAGGAGAATCGCTTGAAAACCCAGGAAGTGGACGTTGCAGTGAGCCGAAATCATGCCATTGCACTCCAGCCTGGGCAACAAGAGCAAACGTCCATCTCAAAAAAAAAAAAAAAAAATGTGATCCCCAATGTTGGAAGTGGGACCTAATGAGAGGTGTTTGGATCATGCGGTGGGTCACTCGTAAGTAGATTAATGCAGTGGAGAGATTAGGGAGTTGTCACGGTATTAGTTCTCCAGAGAGAGTTGGTTGTTGGTTGTTCAAAAGAGCCTGCACCTTCTCTCTCTCTTTCTCTCTCTCTCTCTCGTTCCTACTCTCACCATGTGATCTCCACACACACTGATGACCAGATCCCTTGCCTACCTTCCACCCTGAGTAGAAGCAGCACGGATGGCCAATCTTGAGCTTTTCCAGACATCAGAATCATGAGCCAAATACACCTTTTTTTTTCTTTTTAAATTACGCAGCTTCATGTGTTCCTTTATAGCAACATTATATGGACTAAGACAATCTCAGTCCCTACTACTACACACAATTAAACAAATACTGATAGAGAGTTAGCTTATATAAAATTATATACAACGAAATGTAATTCCACATAATGGGACTTTTATATAATCAAATTCTCTTCTCTAAACATCTATTCTGATCTGCCTTTTTCAATGTATACTGACTTTTGCTGATCCTTATCCGAGTATTATCATTTTATTTTAACCCTGGTGGTTAGATGCAATAATCTTAAATTGAAATCGTAATTTCTATTTGTATAAAAAAATCTCCAGGGATCTGTTTATGAGATAGATCAAAGTTCACTTTAAATACCATATTTTTCAATTGCCTTTCTAAAACATTTCATTCCCTCTTTCACAGTCTGCAAAAGCCCTGCAGCCCATTACATTATAAACCTGGAATACTCTCTCTGTGGATTTCTCACTAGCTCTACTTTCTGACCTAAACACTGTGCCTTTATGAGCTATATTCTTCCTTGATTCCTTTTTTCAGCACACTGAGGCAATGGGAAAGATGTTATTCTGCTTTCCACATTTATCTTCCTGCTTAGGAGACAAACTAAAAATGGATTTGGCATTTAGGCAGAAATATGGAAAAATGATATCTATTGCATAGTATTTTAAAGTTGCTATTTAGATTCCCAGTCCCAGTGATGAATGTGTTCCTAGTTGGCTATCTTTAACACAACATTGAATGTAGTGTGCAGAAAACAACTGGTAAACCCTTTTTAACACAGGCCAGCTCAGAATATTTTAAAATAAATAAAATGTACAAAATAACCTAAAATTTAAAACTTACAGAATATATTTTATGTTAAGTATTTTTATGGTTAAAATGTGTGATTGTTGCAGCTAAAAAGATGCTTTGAAAGTGACTTCTGACAAAAGTTACCATACAATGCATAAGGCATCATTTAACCTTGTTAAAGCCGCAGCAAAAATATATTTGGTGTTAATTAATCACCACTTAGAGATGGAAGTAACATGCCACCACACCATGGTGTTACGCCCGTAAGTATTCTAACATTCCAACATGAAATTTTAACACTGAACTTTGATGAACTTTATTTCTTCCATCTGTTTTCCTTCTTGGTGGATATTGTTTTTATTTCCTCTACTTTGTTTTTGTTTGCACTCCTGAAAATCGTAATTGTTTACTTAGTTTGTAAGTTATTTAATTGAAATAAAGCCTAACTTCATCTATAATGAAACTACTAAAAATAGATGTGTTTAGGTGATATAAAATTTGATTCTGAACACAGAAAGCCTGTTGCCAGTCACAGCAATCTGGCACCCAATAATCTCTGCAAGTTGCACATTTAATTAGAGTGAAAACTCATTAAAGTATCTGGGAATATTAAGATGATGCTATGATTCTAAGTAGCTGTGTATAGTCCTTTGAAGAACAGTTGGCTGAGACTGCCAGCACCTGTCTCAACTGGGGCTATCATACCCACAGATACAAATATAGAGAAACATACTTATTTGATACATAATCACTGAAAAATCATATGTAAATGTGCATTTACAATACTAAGCCTCCCTCAGAACAGCATGTTAGGTAAATGAATATACCAAACAACATATATTTTTTGTTGAGATACTACTTCTATAAGTAAATTATACTGATATTCAACAGTTGTTTTTAAATTATCCTTAGTGTTGCAAATTAGGAATGATGTTATTGTCAAACTATTCAATTTTTCATATGGAAAAATCCTTAGAGAGCAGCATGAGAAGTAACAATATAATCTAATCATTATTATGATTTTAAAATAGATAAAATAAATAAATATGAAAATAAAATTTTAAGGATTTTTCATCAAAATTGGCAAAATTAATTACAAAGAAAATCCAACATACCTGTGGGGAGCATAAAACAGTTTGTTTTGTATGTAAAAATAACTGTTTTCTTATGAGTTGAGGCTCTACAAATTTACATCATTATTCTGAGATACATTGAGAGAAAAATAAATGCCAAATATTTGCTCAGAAAATAAATACATTAATTGACACAACAATTTTATAAAGTGTAAATATGTATATTTTTCCACTATTATACCAATTTGAAGATATGAAGAGTATGGAATTTTAAGGTGAAGGCTGGGAAAGAACAAAATGTGTCCTCCACATATAGTTTTTTTTTATAACAAAAACCAGAAGACAGCTGCTTAATAATATCATCACTCATTTGAATATATTTCAATGAATAAAATGTTCAGTATAACAATCACAAGCATATCACAATTATGTAAGATGGTACATATAAAGCACTTAGTCTAATGATGCTCCCCTAATCTCAATAAACTCTGATGTGACTTATTTCTACTAAATAACTTGCTATATCCATATTTTCCATAAAACTCAAAAATGTACTTGTATCAATTTAAAAAATCAAAAAATTTAATGCAGATTTTGTTAAAAAACATTTTATTTTTAATGGGTATGAAATTCCTGTGTAAACTGTATATTGCTTTGCAAACTAACAGCTCTTATCTGAATGATTGTCATTTTTATACTCTCATAACTGGAGTAAAAAAACTTTCATTTTTTAAATAATTTAAAATCAAATTAAAAAGCAACATTTTTGGTTCCTATTTTAGGTATTCAGAAAAATGTAAATGAAACTCGGGGATATTAAGCTATATGTCTAATCTTCTAAAGCTAATACAAGCCAGATTCAAACTCACGTGTATCTTCTTCAGAACCAAGGATAATTTCTCTAATGCATAATGTCTCCTTAATAATTATTGATTTAAAATATGAGGCAGCATATGGAATGAATGTTACTACCTTGTGACATCTAGACTGTACCTGGGTCTCTGTTGTCAAACATGTTGCTGATCATTCTGGGAATGGCATATGATGAAAATGTATTGTGTTGCTACCAATTGTCCTTGATGCCCATCTTTGAAAAATACCATTTTTAATGAAAATTCCCTTGGAGGGAACTTGAGATTTTCAAAACTCACGAAAACAAAAACAAAAATTTTCCCTGTCCCTAGCTACCTATAATTTATTTTAAATTTATTTATTTCATATTTTAATGTACTTTAGAAGTGTAGGGAGATGTAGCAATGGGCTTCCTTCACTTTTGAATTTCAGAGAACTTTTAGATCACATCTGGGTGACCTGGTTCTGTGAACTCCTGGTGATCATTAATAAGCATAGCGAAACTGAGAGCGAGCTTGGCTGCAAATGTCAAATTCAAGACACTTGGAGGGTATTGGGTTTAAATCTTAGCTAGTGGCCTTTTCTAGCCATCAATGTCCAAGAATATGAAGCATAATTTTAAAATGAGTTACACCACAAAGATAAGAAAAAAATTAATAAATTTCTGTAGACATTGCCCTCTACACTCCAACAAATGCACACATTTATAACCCTACAGAAAGAGATATATGTCAATTCCTTTATTTAAAAGAATAAAATCACCATTGATAAAATTGTAATGGGCAGAAAACGTAATGAATACCTACTAAGTCATTCCATAATCTCTATTGTTTTCTCAAACCTTCTTATATCTATCATTTGGCTTAATTACAATTAGTTTCTATTTGTCTTTGTTATTTAAATAACTCACATTTTATGTGACCTCACCTAAGTTGTTAACTTTAATGTCTTATATACTGGGGATATATTCAGAGCAGTAGGAAATTCTGAATCAACAATTCTAATTGTAAACAATAAACATTTTTAATTATAAATTATTTTTAAAAATTGTTATAGGTAGGAATATGATATTGCAAATTTAAGGAATAGAGCAGGTGAAGTGCAACAATTTGAATCATTATTTGCAAATACTATATTCATATTCAACAATGATAAAAAAATTAAGGCATTTATTTGGGATTGGAATAGCATTTGGTCAGTATTCCTCACTGCAGTGTCACATAACATACCATAAAAGAAAATAAATAAAAATATCAAAAAACTCTCAAGAGACACAGTGCAAACCCTTGGAGAAATTTTCACTTAGAGTAAGGTCAATGTGGAATCTTTGAATAACAGACAATTAGTAGCTCATTTTGTCTTACCATCTGAAAGTGAGAACTTCTGGATCTGTAAGTTCTGGCCCTCCATTTGGTCTGTCTCCTGCTTCAAAAACACAAAACATCTGAAAACCAAAACATCATCAATGATGCTATTACTAATGTGCTCAACTCCCATTGCATCAATCCCTAAATCTTTATACCTATTTCTTGATTTATTCACTGAGAGACTGTAAATCTTAGAAAATAACTTGAATATAATTATTTTTCTTCTTTCATTTTAAAATTTAATTTAATTTATTTGAGACAGGGTCTCTCTGTCCCCTAGGGTGGAGTGCAATCACAGGATCATGGCTCACTGCAGCCTGGAACTCCTGGGCTCAAGTGATCCTTCCAACCTCAGCTTCTGGAGTAGCTAGGACTACAAGCATGTGCCACCATGTCTGGCTTAGAATTATTTTTCTACTTTACTCTGATAAATTGATACTCTCAAGTAGCATAAATTCAGTGATGATAAAGACAAGAAGAACCCTGCCAAAAGTTGAATTTACAGGTTGAACAATGTCACTGCTAAGTATTTAAATTACGACAACAATAAAATCAGATATAAAGGTTAAAAAAGAGTCACATGTATTCAATATAAGGATGCATATGAAAAATACAAACGTATTATGATTATAATCAAAGCAGTTGCCTTTGTCTCACCACTAGTTACATATAATCAGAGTTTTCAGGGCAGTATTTTGTATCTATTTTGTTTTAATTCATGTGGTTATTATCACCTTTTCATGTAGAATAGTGTCATATATTATGCAACATATGCATACTAGAGTTTCTAATCTGACAGATGTGAATTTAGCTCACATTATTACCAATCACCACAAGGACGTCTCTGTGATTCCTTTCCCTCACTGTTGTGCTATTTTTCTCCTATCTATAAAGTCCTGACTCTTTAGCATCATTATAAGAAGTGATTGAGATGAGGAAAAATTTGGAAACTTTTCTTAGAATATCTTTGACTCTGTTTATCCAAAGATTCCTTGACTTTAGTGAATGTGGCAGGCTCTTTCTTGCACATTTTCATAATCTCCAGATTTGATTGCTGTGGTTGAGGACTCTTTTTTTTTTTTTTTTTTTTTTTTTTAGTGGAGACAGGGCTTCACCGTGTTAGCCAGAATGGTCTCGATCTCCTGATCTCGTGATCTGCTCGCCTCAGCCTCCCAAAATGCTGGGATTATAGGTGTGAGCCACTGTGCCCAGCAAACTGAGGACTCTTTAAAGGATCTTACTGACCACTTTGATGGTCATTTTGAATTTAATAGCACAGTAAAAGACCAGCTTACTATCTTTCATCTGGTTAAATTTTTGTACTATACTCCAATGGTGCTGGTAATTCATCTTCATATGCCAGCAAAAGCAAAGACAAAAAGATTTGGGAATAATCTGGATATAGCCTAATTACTCAAGGTAAATGTCCACATAATACTATAGTCCTTTCTGTGAGTTGCTTTTTTAAAAACAGACTTTATTGTTTAAAGCAGTTTTAGGTGCACAGAAAAACTGAAGAGAAGGTATAGAGATTCCACATGTACCTCCTGCCCACACATCTGCAAAGCCTCTTCCATTAATATCCCCCACAAGAGAGGTACATTTATTACAATTTATAAGCCTGTATTGACACATCATTATCACCCAAGGTTCATACTACACATTAAGGTCCACTCTTGGTACTCTGTAATCTATGGGTTTGAACAAATGTATAATGACATGTATCTACCATTGTAGTGTTGTACAGAATAGTTTTACTGCCCTACAAATCTTCTGTGCTTCTATTCATCCCTCCCTTTCTCAATCCTTGTCAACCACTGATTATTTTATTGTCTCTTTAGTTTTTCCTTTTCCAGAATGTCATATAGCTAGAATTATACAGTATGTAGCCTATTAAGGTTCTCTTATTTTACTTAGTAATATGCACTTTCAGTTTCTTCCATGTTTATCCATGGCTTAATAGCTAGTTTTTTATAGCACTAAATAATATTTCATTCCCTTTTATTTTTCTGAACTTTATAGAATATTTCTCATATTTCTTATTTTTTAATCATTTTCATGTGACTTTTTCTAGCTAAAACTTCTCATTTTGTCTTGAGAATCCTTCATTGAAAAATTTATTACGGCAAAAACATGAAAATTTTACACACTTTTTCTTATTCCTATTATTCTTAATTTATACATTTTCTCTTAATTTTGTATTATGAACAAATATCTTCTCAGGTATTTTTAAAAATTATATTGTCAATTATAATTGTAAGTTATATCATGTATTAACTCTGATTCACTGAGACCTAGGATTTTATGTGTGTCTGTGTGTGTGTGCATGATGTTTTAATCTGTGTGTGTTGGTGTGGAGGGTGTGTACTACTCTTTTATGATACAGGCTTTGACTAAGGAATTTTGAAGATTGTGCTGGCCTAGTCAAGTTAGGTAAAATGACCTTGGGCCTGGCCTGCCTCTCTTCCTTCCTCAACCCTTGGAAGCCATAGGAAATTATAATAAGATATATCTTTCTTGATTTTTTTTTTACAAATCCCTGGACATGTGAGTTTGCATGAAGACTTGGCGTTAGGTGATACTCATGTACCTTGCCTCTTGTCTGCAGCAGGCTTGAACATCTGGCGTGGGTAAGGAAGGAGGAAATAAAGATGTGTGTGGATAGCTGCTAGAATTCCTGATGAGATGAAAATGATATTCATACTATGTTTCCTATTTTGTGTCTGTAAGGTAATAATGCAGAATTAAATTAAAGCGGGTTTGTTTTTCTATCTTTTTCCATTAGCATCACAAGTGGCAATGCACAAACTTTGTGGAAATATTTAGTGAGCCTTAAGTTTTAATTCAGGCTTAGGCATAAAGCTATAGGTATTGTGTGTATATGTGCAGGGCTTAAGTTTTAATTTTTTATGAGTAAGTTTGTAAAACAGACTTGAATGTTTTGTTTTCGTACATGTAAGAATGTGCAACATAGCAGTCCAAAAACTATTAGCAAAATACTTCAGACAAGTAACGAATTGGGTAAAGTTTGTAACCTAGTTTTTTTCATCTAGATGCCAAATTATTGGACATGATGAACATGAGAATACTGAAGGACAAGCAGTGAAAAGAACTGTACAGACTTTAGCAGATTGTCGTGTTTTCTGTCTTCTCCTGTTCTGTATGGCCATCTCTCCCTGTATGTGCTACTTTACTGTATTTTTGCAGAGATTATTGATAATTGTCTCAGCTGTATCTTTTTCTCCTCATATTTTAGCTTCTATTTTTTCATTTTATCCTACCATCCTTAATGTTTTCCAGAAACTTTGAAATTGTTTCATTTTGCCAGTCCTGTCTAATTATCCTATTTATAGTAAGTTCATTATTTTAAAAATTCCCTGTTGTTATTTAATAGAATCTTGGGGGAAACAGGAGATAAAATAGCTCAGGTTACCATACAGAATTGAGATTGTTTGGTTGGATGTATCTCTCAGATACCTCTGTGAGAATACTGAGTATGCATTTAGATATAAGGCCTATAAACTCAGCAGACTTTGGTCTGTAGAGCTGGATAATCCTGAGATCACCCACAGGCATTTTATTTAAAAATCAAAACAGATATCATTAGATGCAGCTATCCAGGTGGCATTTAAATTAAAAAAAAAACAGAATAACTTCATTTAAAAATTATGCTAATTGAAAGAGAAGTTACAACAGCAAATTCTCTTGATGTGTCACCTGACTATTAGATAATTTTGCAAATTACCTAATATCTACCTACGGTACTTCCATTATCTATAAGAAAGTGAATGGTGGCCACATCAGAGTGTTTCATGGGTTCTACAACTACCTTCAATTAATTAATGTGCCAGAAAGACTCATAGGACATAGCAGCAGGTTATACACATGGCTAGAGTTTATTACAGAATGATTAAAAACAAAAAATAAAAGAGTAAAAGCAACAAGTAAAACATCTATATTAGGCAAAGTCCAGAGTCATCAAAAACAGGTTTACAAATCCTTTACTCATAGGGTACCATAGGATGCACTTTCTCTCTAGCAGCAAACTATAGGAACCCATGAGAGAAGTATCTTTCCACTGAATTCTGCTTAATTCTCCAGGCCTGGGTGGTTAATGATCATAAGAATTGATCATGTAGGCACATTCCTGCTAACAGCCGTGATAACTGATACCCAAGACCTAGTACAGGGTCCAGATCTATATTATAAATTTTGGTAAACATTTACAGATATATTTACAACATAACCTAATAGTACAGTGTGCCCTGTTTATCCAGGTGTATAAAACAACATCATCTGTCTGTGACATAAAGAACAATCCAAAGACCACATTTCCAAGGGATGACTAAAGATCAATCATCATTCCAGGACCCTTCAGAGTTATATAAATATTGAGTAACCCAACCCACTGTGTTAACATTTTCCTTTATAGGGTGACCATACAATGTATCATCCAAACCAGGATTCTCCTGAGAGTTAAAAAGCCTTATTATTAATACTCGGTATAAAACCATAAGCCAGCACCATATCATCTTCATTCAATGTGTTTTCTACAAAGAATAGAAAGTGCAAATTGTACGATTTAAGAGACCAGATGGTTTACCCTAAATATTTAACCTCTCCTCATGCATTTCTTCCCCAAGCAAGCATGGGAAACAAATGGTAATATTTGCAGTGTTGGGGGAAATGGAACCAATATGAAGGAAAACCAAGCTAAAACATGAAAGCAATTATATATAGAACAAAAGATCTAATAGGTAGATGCAATTTCTAGTTAGACAGAAAGATCAGTATATAAGCTAACAGTGAAGAAAATGTTTCTTTAGGAAAAATAAGGCAGATCTGAATCACTAGTAATCAAAACACAAGAAGTGAGGCTGATGCTTATTCGATTGAGTAGTGGGGCTTGTGGTTGAGACTCTTAGGCTTCTCTCAACTGGTCTTGGAGGAAGAGAACCCAGCATCTGACAAACTATCTTGTTTCTGATGTCTGAAACTTTATCCATCCTTATTTTAAGTCATTAAGCTTAAAACATGTGAATATATTGTAGGTACAAAATTACTAATCTTGTTTATATTAAAATTTGTTTATTAGATCCTATCTCATATAGCAACTATCAGAGAAGTTCAACGTATGAAGAAAACTACAAAGTAAGTTCTTAAATAAAAGAACTTACTTTTGTTTATGTGAGAAGAAGCTTAAAACTAAGACACTCCTCAGGGAAGGTAGGGTGGAACATTTAGACAGAATCTGTGAGAAGTCATTGTATTCTATTTGTGCCAGTAAGAGATTAACAAATAATCAACAAATACATATTGGACAGTAATAAAAAACAAAAAGAAAAGCAAGTAAAAGGACAGAGAAGTAGGGTGGTAGTACTTTTGACAGGTGACCAGGGAACCCTCTATAAGTATCAGAAAATAGGTAAAACAAAGATTTAGCATACAAGTTGGAGAAAGTCTTAGTGATATCTAGAGAAGAGGGTTTCAGATTGAAGAATCACCAGTTCACTAGCTCTAGCTTACTTCAGTATTACGGAAAAGAAAGAAGTAAATTTGTCTGGTACAGGGGTGGAAAATTGTGAGAAAGATATTGAAGAGAGAACCAAATGCTACTTTCATTTTAGATGTTTTGGGAAGTAATCACACCACAGGTATGACAGAGTATTACTTTGGCTTGAAAAGGATGATTATTAAGGGCTGGATTTGTTACCCCAAAATTTGTATATTGAAGCCCTAAATCTCAGTAATTCCAGAAGTGACTGCTTTGGGAATTGAGGCATTTAAGGGGGTAATGAAGGTAAAATGAGGTCATATAAGTTGGTTCTAATCCAATCTGAATGGTTTTCTTATAATAAAAGGAAATTTATATACACAGAGAGACACCAGGGATGCATGCAAACAGAGGAAAGACCATGTGAGGACACATAGAGAAGGCAGTCATCTGCCAGTCAAGGAAGAAGTCCTTAAGAGAAACCAAACCTGCTGACACTTTCATCTTGGATCTGTGAGGGAATAAATTTATATTTCTTTAAGCCATTCAGCCTGTGATTTTGTTATATCATCCCTAGAAAACTAACGCAATGACTATGATTCATATATGGAAAACAGATATTAGGAAGGTAAGTTTGAAATCAGTACAGGAGTGAAATATTGGTGACATGGACTGGAGAGGAAATGGTAAGTGGTAAGAGGTATTTAGGTACAGATAAAAATATGAATATATGTATTTATTACACATAATATGTATATATATGTAATTTCCTTATATATATGAGGAAATTATAGTCATGAGGATTCTCTGAGAAGGCAAATATGGGGTGTGACAAGTTTATTCCTCGAAGAAGGATAATCTCAAGATATTTGATCAGGATGCTTTATTTTTGTTGCATGTTGAAATAAATATTATTTTCTGGTCCAAATGTGTTTTAACAGGAACTAGCTCTGTTCATTGGTTTGTTTTTAATAAACATCTTTCACTGATAGAAGTATGCATTATACATTTATACACTAAAATAGGAACCAAATACCTTAATATTAGATTTAGTTAATCTCACCACTTCAAGGTGAAATTATTAGACAGCCTAATTGGAAATATATCCATGAGTGACAGTATGGCAAGGCTCTTTTCAGTTTTGAAGAGTTTGGATGAATTCCAGAGATCGGTGAAGAAATTAATTGCTTACGAGTTCTGGCACAAGTCTTCTCATCAGCACTGATTTTTTGAACAGCTATTGGAACAGGGCACTGCTTGCCAAAGTAAGGAGCCTGACAGTTTTGCAATTAGAGAGGATTGGGGGATGATACGTTGGTCTTAGGAGTCAATATGCACAGTGTACAAATTACATGCAAAGGCAAATTAACCATCATGTTTTAAAAATAATCATTTAATATTTCATTACTTAACATTTCTATCATTCATTTTTTCCCATAAGCGATTAAATATTTCTGGGCTTAGTTTTTCTGTATGTGTTTTCACAATATTGTTTGTGTAATTTAATTATTCCAGGGATTATGGAAAATTGATTCTTTATGAAAATAAGGCACCTGGCGGCATAAATAATGTTTGTAGAATTGAGTAATTTATTACGCCTAAGGCATTGCATGCGGTGAGCTTTAACTCAAAGTGATAATGGAAAACATCACCCTGTTCTCTGCAGGTTTTAAAAAATTCTCTGTGCTATGAAGGGACAAAGATAGCTTGTGTATAATAAATTAGATTTAAATTATTTATGAAATGTTAAATTTATTCTTTCATTATTCCATATGAACTTACAATTTATTTGCCACTCATCTTCTTGATTATACAGCCAAATGACATCTGTAATATACAAATATTATTTTCTAAATACTTGTATTCATTTGGTGTATGTTCTCTTATACACACACAGAAACACTGTCCAGTTTTCAGTCTTAGCTCTGATATGCATTAGTGCATATTTTTTGGGGAACTCAGGTTAATCTTTATTTTGAATCACCTTTTCATTAAGATAGGAAAAAGTTCATCTTAGTTAATGTGCTACTTATCTCCATTTTCAGAAGTGAAGATTTCCAGTTGAGTGAAAATGCTGGTAGGCCATTATACTAGTAGTAGGAAACACATGTAGCCCTGGCATCATTTGTCTACATGCATGTCAACCAAATTGTTGAGATGCCTCATTACATCTGTTTATTTGTTTCCAAATTGTAAATGTGAGCATGTTCTTCCCTACTGTCTCTAAAGACTCAGGATCAGCAGCACTCTGTAGTAATGTCAGGCTGTAGCTGAGAATCCATCTGCAATTTTTCATTGTGCTGGGATAATAGCTCTCAAAGAACCTCTGTATAGCCCAGAGTGACTGAGTTCATACATGCTATTTTTTTAATAAGCTTTACTGGATGCCTATAAAAAGCAGGGCACAGGACTTCTCTGTCTTCCACCACACAGGCTACAGACCCTAAACTGGAACATTGTTTTATCATTTGCCCCTTCTTTAGCCTAAATCCAGGAAAAATATTTTCTAGTCTTTAGAGGAAGTCTTCGTACTTGACAGATGCCCTGTTATAATCCCTGAATATCTATCAACAATTTTGTCTATGACTAGACTATCAAATTGCCTAATGTCATGGAATGTCAAAGGTTTTTTTTAAAAAAAACATGATGTATTTTTAAAAAGGTTCAATTGTGTTTGGTTATATACATCCCCTGGGAAAATCGGCACTGAAAGTATTAAATTATTGAATCCTAATAGAATTGAGGAGAGAATTTTAATCGTAAGAGAATTGAGGGGGAAAGAGTGAAAAGTAAAATGGAAAAAAGAAATAAAGAACACAAATTAATATCACTCAAAATTAAAATAATATATTTGCAATGTAAAATGATGTTTGTTCTTTAAAACAACCAACAGTGTATAGGTTTACAATATTTTAAACATGTGCAAGCACTTACAAGGAGACTTGATTTTCTTCATTTGGACTGTGGCTCCCAAACTGAAAGCAAATAATAAATTATTGGTTTCAAGTAGTCCTGCATCCTAAAGACAGAGAAGAGATCTCTGCTGCAGGATACACTAAACAGATATTAAAGGGTACTCTCACAAACAGCATATCATTGCCTCCATGCTTTTTTGTGGGTGTGGGGGGATGGAGTTTTGCTCTTGTTGCCCAAGCTGGAGTGCAATGGCACGACCTGGGCTCACTGCAACCTCTGCCTCCCGGGTTCAAGTGATTCTCCTGCCTCAGCCTTCGGAGTAGCTGGGATTACAAGCATGCACCACCACGCCTGGCTAATTTTGCTTTTTTTTTTTAATAGAGGCTGGGTTTGTCCATGTTGGTCAGACTGGTCTCGAACTCCCAACCTCAGGTGATCCGCCCGCCTTGGCCTCCCAAAGTGCTGGGATTACAGGCATGAGCCAAGGCACCTGGCCCATTACCTCCATCCTTTTAAATAAAAAGTAATCACTAAGGAGATTAAATAGACTACTACTTTTGAAGATGTATATAAATGAATATACATATGTTTGTGTATGTATATTCACATATATATATATGTACATCCAGGTATATGTGAATTATTTATAAAACAAAGAAAAGTTTCTATTGTAAAGAGAGCTGATGGTTTTCCTTGTATTTTCTTTCTCAACTCTAACTCATGGGGAATGAGAAGAAGTGTTTTTATCTGTATCAAGCCAGTTGAGGGTCTTCAAACTAAACACTGAAAGAGTTTGCTGTAAAGTCATGGAACCAGGGTATACTGACTCCATCTACACAAGTCAAAGGTGAGCAATGATGACTAGAATCACGACTGTGGGCAGCAGAGCAGGGATAGCTGACACCCCCAGAAACTGATGGGGTAAGGATGCCTATAACTCTCCTGTGAACCTGGCAAAATGGAGTTAGACTGAGCCATCTCTGTCTAATAGATATGCCTGAAAAGGCCAGGATATACAAACAGAGGTACCAAACAGGGGTTGTAGGAAGAATGGCCAATCAGAAGGAAAATTTCTTAATTAACAGTGTGAACTGCTGAAATGCACAGCAAACGAATTTTTTAGGAAATCCACATAAGCATCACCTAAGGGAAAGTGCAAGAAGTTTTGAACCTACCAAATAAAGATTAGTACATGACCCAATTACACGAAACCAATCATCTGAAAACCTTCCCTGTATCTTCATTGACCTCCCGAAACTTGCCCTGTCATACCAAAGGGGATAAAACAGCAAATAAGGAGAGAAAATGGGGAACCAGAAAGTGAAAGAAAAACATGTCTTCAGGGGATTATATTCAGGAGAAGTGTATGAAAAGACCGTAGGTGAAATAAAATTGTCTTACCATATAGAATCTAATTCATTCAAAATATGTTAAACGTAAGTATTATAAATGTGATGCTTATTTTACTGATGAACATGCATGATTCCTGACTTATAAAACTTCATATTAAAGATTGTAATAAAAATATCATTTAAAAAGTAACCCGAGTGTCAATCTTCCTCTTTCCTTAGTATATTAGGCCAAAAAGGAATTTGTCTTAATCATTTCCGAGGGCAGTTCTAGGACGTAGCTTTTTTTCTTTGCCATTCTCGTCTCCAGTGCATTCACTCTGCTGCTTTTGTCATGGCTGAAAATAGCAAAAGACTTGTATTATCTTCTCGGTGCTGGCCTTGCCATTTTAACTGAAGCAGAGGCGTGAATGTTGGGTAGGCCATCATTTATGTCAATGCTTTGCACTATTTTTACTCCTAATTCTATTATTCAAGCCTTTTCTTGGTGTACCAGTTTTTACTAAATATTTGAGGAGATGGATTAATGTTATTATACAATAGAATAAATAATCTACAGTGGATATGTCTCTAATAGTAATAAAAAGTTGGTTGTCAACCTTTCCCTAAGAAATTTCATGTTCACTAGCTTTCTACATCTCTACCTAGTTGGTCTTTTCACTTTTGAATTTGCATTGTCTTTTATCTCTTTTCTGTTAATTCCTATTTCAAAAATGCTGTATCATGTGCAGAGAAATTTACTTATGACCTTAAACTGTATCAAGTCTTTGCTCTCAAGCAGCTCATTTATTTTTATGAATTATTATTCATGAAGTAATTTCTCAGTATATATGTATGTATGTGTATGTAATGTTAATATAGATACAACTATAAAATGAAAGACCAATTTTCATCTACCTTATATCAATAATCCTCTTTCTTACTTCTTTATTAAATCCCACCTTCTTTGACCTTTACCAGCAGCAGTTATTCTATACACAATGAAAATTATAATTAGTACAGATAAATTTTTTTAAAAAAGAAAAGGTCTTCAGCAATTCTAACAGTGTCAAATGTCCATTATAGGATTGGTCAGAATTCTAACATGAAACAGAGGGTGACTAAAAATGCATAAATGAGGAGTTTAATGCAATGCTATTAATAAAAGTAAAGAAAAGCTTAAGAAAACCTAACACAGGATGGTGAATTGTACAGTGCTAGCAAGAGCGGTCATTCCTTACCACCCCTAGGCTGGTAGGAAATAGGGAACTAGTACTTATAAAATCTGATTGCTGGGGCTATTTTTTAAAAATGTGGTGAGCAATCACTGTCAAAGTACAGCCAAACAGAGATTCATGTGAGCCAGGATAGTAAATCCTGTGACTTCTCTCTTCAACTGTTCTTCAACCCCTTTCAGTTCCTTCCACTGGACAAACCCTCTTGGAAGGAGATTCAGGGGCTTTTTAGATGTCAGTTGTTAGCACCTGGAAATAAGTTTTTCAGTGCTTGTAACAGGATAGAGCAGGTAGAAATATGAATGTGGATGGACAACTAACAGAGTAACTTTCACAATCTTTTCACCTTTTTGCCTTTAACATTGACTCAGATATTTCATTTGAATGAAAGACTCAGGAAAGGTAGGAGGGCAAATACATTGATAAATTTACATAAAAGATGGTTGCTTTTATGTAACTAGTCATTAGGCCTAGGCAAAAAAATCTTTCGTGTATGACTTATTCTATATTCGTCTTACCCTCTGTATCTGCTGGTATATCTGCTGGTTGGATATTTTTATGTAAAGAGTTATATTGACACAAGTCTTCATTCCCATGGGTCCAAGTTTTCTGTGTTTCTGTCCTGATAGATTGACCATGATTATTCAGCATGGAAAAACTAGAATGAATTTTAGAGACGCTCTTCACTTTGCAATATGATTATATAGCTGTTCTTGACACCATTATGGAAGAGCAGCTCAATTTCCTTTTAGTAATCAAGATAAATCCCTTAGACAGTACATTAACTCCTCTCTGCCTGTTGGGTCAGTGTCATAGAAGGCTTGAATGAGAGGGGAACTTTCTTACCTTCTCTTAATGTAACAGAACGATAGATGGGTTCCCTGGTGAAAGCATTCCTCCTTAGGTACCAGGACAGCAAAACTTAATGACTCTAAGACAAAAGAAATAGAACATAACAATTTTATAAGTGGTTGATTAGGTATGATAGTGAGGGAAGTTATTCTCACTCACTCTCATGCATCCCAGTCCTTTGCTTTCTTTCCGTGGAGGAGACCATACCAAATGGCCCTGGGTTGAAGGTGGGGGTAACTATATTTTGGAGTTATCCCCAAACAGTACCAGTTCACAGCTTTTATTTTCATCATTTTGAATATTTTTTTCCTTTTCCTCAACAAGGTATAGTAGCTTACATGATAAGGTATATGATGACCTTAAAAAAAATACAATAAAGGCTATAGAACAGCTTCCTGTGCTTGCAGAAAATGTTTTAACCTACTGGCATCTTAACTGATTATACGATAAGCTATTTTACTGTTTTTCCAGGTTTGCCACTTCTAGGTAATGGAAAACATTGGAAGACCAGAGAATTCTTAAATATGAGTCCATGAGTCCACTTTCTTGATCTTTTCTTGGTTGAGGACTATGTTGCTGAGATACCAAGGAGACTAGTAAAACATTTCTACTAAAAGTGCAGCCTGCTCACAAGCACTGGTTGCTAAACAACTAATTACCAGTCTAGAACTAGAGAAAGTCAAAAATTGATAGAATATTTTAGAAACTTTTGTGGAATTTTGACATGGCTACCATATTCAAGTACATTTTCAATGGGTCCATTTGTGGCTGAAAATATTAAGGTAAGTTATAATAAAATTTATAGGAGACTAAGTATTTAGGAATCTCATTAAAAAGTTAATGGGGGCCTAAAAAATTCATGTAGTTCAGCAAAATAATCGAACTTAAAGAAAACCCCAAAATTTATAAATTACAAAATCAAATATTATAGTCATGAAACAAAACTAAAATGATATGCTTACTTTTAAAAAGGGTACATTTAAAAATATAGCTTCAAGGCAAGAAACAAATATTCATATTATGCTTCTGGTAATGAGCCAAGAAACATTTAAAATTTAATGACATACAAAGATTAAAACAAAAATATCCATTAAATAAAAACAGAAAAAACTGTACAGAAATGGCAAAAAAACAAATACCTGGTAGATTTTTTTAAAAAATAAAGTCAATGGTTGTTATAGTTAAAAACTGTACTCAGCAAGCCAGGATGGAAATCCTTAGATACCACCATAACATGGATTATAATTGAGAAGTTAGCTATCAAAGCTAAGCAATGCTTTCTCAGTAAAAGTCTCATTTAAATTAGTTTAAACATATTTAGTTGTTAAAAGTAGGAAAACTTTAAAAATACAAATGATACACTGTTTTTGTGGCTTGAGTAATCTATTTGTCTTTTAGACTTTTGTCTTAAATTAATGTGTCATATATCACATTAATATCAGGCTTCTCTCAGAAACATAAAATTAGACTTTGGAGATCCCTTAAAGTTTAAAAACACACACACACGAACATGTGCACACACACGTACATTTTAGAGATTAGTAAAATGTGGCTCCAAAGTTTAAAAATTCTATTCAAAGGAACAGAGCAGATATGAAGGCTGAATTAAGACTGAATGTAGAAATCATGACTTTATTTTCATTTTTTAATTCTCTTCATATGCCTGCAATACATACCTATAAAACATGGAACTACATGGTGGTGATGGTTCCACAATGTTGTGGATGTATCAGATGCCATTGAATTGTACACTTTAAAACTGCAAAAATGGTAAATTTTATATGTATTTTACCTCAAAAAAAGCATGCGTGAATGAGATAACACTACATTTGTTTTGAGTTACCATATTTTTAACACAAAGAGTAGAAATCTCATCTTTAAAATATAACCATTTTTGGATGTGCCACTTTTCCTAAGTAGCCACAGTATGTGACCTCTGATGAATTTTTCCAATAATGTGTTTTCCTTGGTACTACATGCCATTTTGCCAACAGGGCTTACAAATGATTAAGCTTTCCCTTAGGAGGAATTGTAAGAGTTGCTCAAGGAATACAGCTAATAATCTATTTAAACTAAGTACATGTTTTCCAATTATTGGTGAAGAAATTTTAAATTAAAATTGCTAAAAGTTTTTTGTTTTAATAAAAAATAATGACCTGACTTACAACTGTCAGGTTATAAGTTACTTATTCTCAAAAGAAAATTTTTTTTGGCAAATATTTATGAAAAAGGGAGAGTCTCAAATGATATTTGGATTGCATAAAGCCAATTGAATCACTGTGACATGGAAGGAGATACTTTGTCAAGATGAAAATAACCTTTAAAAGAGGATAATGGGGAGATGTCCATTTCACTTATTCTTTCATTCTATTTTTCATCTGTAATTTGACCTTATGCCAGTTTATCTTTGTATTTTGGATAGTAAGAGCTTCAGTGGAAAAGTAAACTGATCTCTTATTTTGTAAAATGTTTCTGTTGTTGCCATTGTTTTTCCAAGATAAACAAATAAGATACTATTAAATGTTATCTCCTTTATTTTTCAGAAAGCATTTTGTAAAGTTTAAATATTTTATTAGATGTTAAGGCTATAACAACATGATTTATTACAATAAAATAGTTACTTATGTCAAAATTGCAGTTAGAAAAGAAAATATAAAAATACTTTTGTAGATTAGAGACAATAATCACAAAGCCAAACAGATACTTTTATAGATACCATTAATTCAAGTCAATATCTGTAATCTTACCTCTACACATGAAGTATTTTTTGGCTGACCTAGTACTATGACTATTGGCTGTGTATTCCAAAGAATTTAAATACCAGATTTGGGTAAGGTATGTTACAGCATTCATTTGGCTTTTGGCAGTTTTTTCTTCTTACAACACAAATAATAAAAGCAAGTTGTTTTTTATGAAATAAGAGTAGCTCATTTATTTGATTGGATAACAGACCCTAAAAGGATGAATGGCTCTGGGAATTTTGATTTTCTTCTCTTTCAGCAAGGTGTGACCCTTCTTGGAAATGCCATCATGTGTTTATGCTGACACCAAAACAGGCTCATTGATTTTCCAGCTTTCTAATTCATGCAATCTCAGATTTGAAAGGACACAACAAAAATTTAGCCAAGAGTAAATCTAATTCTAATAAAATATGGTCCAAAGATATGTTCAGCTTATGATTAAAGTAAAATTTTATTGTGACTTTTTTTAAGAATCCAAGTGTTCTCCTACTTACCAGAGAATGATGATTAATGGCATATGTGAATAAATATACCTGTGAAAACAGACTCTTGTGATATTTCTTTTGGCTAGAAATTGTATTTGAATTATATCATATTGGAGCACTTACATCAAAACATTAAAAAGGCATTGTTTAAAAAACTAAAATGTGTAAGAAATTAAGTCTGAATCCTTTAAGACATTGTAACAGTTGTGAGACACAAGACTTATTATGGTCTTGTATTAGTCTGTTCTTGCATGGCTATAATACCTGCATGGCTAAGAAATACCTGAGTCTGGGTAATTTATAAAGAAAAGAGGTTTAATTGGCTCATGATTCCACAGGGTATACAAGAAGCATGACAGCATCTGTTTCTGGGGAGGCCTCAGAGAGCTTTTATTCATGGCAGAAGGCAAAGTGGGAGCAGGCCATCTTACATGGCAGGAGAAGGACTGAGAGAGATGTAAGGGAAAGGTGCTACACACTTTTAAACAACCAGATGTAGTGAGAACTCTGTCATGAGAACAGTACCAAAGGAATGGTGTAAACCATTCATAAAGGATCCACCCCCATGATCAAATCACCTCCCACTAGGCCCCATCTCCAACATTGGTGATTATGGTTTGACGTAAGATTTGGATGGGGACACAGATCCAAACCATATCATCCCACCCCTGGCCCCTCCCAAATCTTACATCCTTCTCATATTTCAAAATAAAATGATGCCTTTCCAACAGTCCCCCAAAGTCTTAACTCACTCCAGCCCACAGTCCAAAGTTTCATCAGAGACAAAGCAAGTAACTTCTGCCTATGAACCTGTAAAATCAAAAACAAGTTAATTACTTCCAAGATACAAAGGGAGCACAAGCATTGGGTAAATACTTCCATTCCAAAAGGGAGAAATCAGCCAAAAGAAAGGGGCTACAGGCCCTGTGCAAGTCCAGCAGGGCAGTCATTAAATCTTAAAGCTTCCAAATAATCTCATTTATTTGTCCCACATCCAGGGCACTCTGGTGCAAGGAGTGGGCTCCTGTATTTGTCTGTTCTCACACTTCTGTGAAGAAATACCTGAGACTGGGTAATTTACAAAGAAGAGAGATTTAATTGACTCACAGTTCCACATGTCTGGAGAGGCCTCAGGAAACTTACAATCTTGGTGGAAGGCACCTCTTTACCAGATGGCAGGAGAGAGAATGAGTGTGAGTGAAGGGGGAAGCCCCTTATAAAACTATCAGATCTCATGAGAACTCACTTAGTATCATAAGAACAGTATAGGGGAAACTTCCCTCATGATTCAATTATCTCCACCTGGTCCTGCCCTTGAAACATGGGGATTATTACAATTCAATATAAGATTTGGGTGGGGACTCAGCCAAACCATAGCATTCCAATGCTGGCTTCTCCAAAATCTCATGTACTCACATTTCAAACACATTCATGTCTTCCCAGCAGTCCCCTAAAGTCTTAATTCATTTCAGCATTAGCCCAAAAATCCAAGTTCAAAGTTTAATCTGAGACAAGGCAAGTCCCTTCTCCCTATGAGCTGTATAATCAAAGCAACTTAGTTACTTCCTAAATACAATGAGAATACAGGCATTGATGAACTACACCCATTCCAAATGGGAGAAATTGGCCAAAACCAAGGGGTTACAAGTCCCATGAAGGTCCAAAATCCAATAGAGCAATCATTAAACCTTAAAGTTTCAAGATAGTCTTCTATGACTTTGTGTCTCACATCCAGGTCATGCTGATGTAAGAGTGAGCTCCCACAGCCCTGGGCAGCTCCCAAAGTCTTGGGCAGCTTTGCTCATGTGGTTTCTCAGGGTTCAGGGTCTATGGCTGTTCTCATGGGCTAGAGTTGAGTTCCTGTGGCTTTTCCAGGTGACGGGTGAAAGCTGTCAATGTATCTACCATTATGGAGTCTGGAAGATGGTGGATCCCTTCTCACAGCTCCACTAGGCTGTGCCCTGGTGGGAACTTTGTGTAGAGGCTCCAACTCTACATTTCCCCTCTGCAACTACCCTAGTAGAGGTTCTTTATGAGGGCTTTGCCCTGCAGCAGGCTTCTGCCTGGACACCCAGGCTTTTCCATACATCCTCTGAAATCTAGTCAGAGGCTCCCAAGCCCCAGCTCTTGCACTCTGCACATCTGCAGTCTTAACACCATGTGGAAACCACCAAGGCTTATGGCTTGCATCTTCTGGAGCAGTGGCTCAAGCTGTACCTGGACCCTTTTGAGTAATGGCTGGAACTGGAGCAGCTAGAATACAGGGAGCAGTGTCCTGAGGCTGTGCAGGACAGCAGGGCCCTAGGCCTCTCCCATGAAACCATTTTATCCTTGTAGGCTTCAGTGCTTGTATTGGGAGGAACTTCTGCAAAGGTCTCTGAAATGCCTTGGAGGACTTTTCCCCATTGTTTTGGATATTAGCACTTGGCTCTTCTTTACTTATGCAAATTTCTCCAGTCTTCTTGAATTCCTCCCTAGAAAATGGGTTTTTCTTTTCTACCACTTGGCTGGCCAGGCTGTAAATTTTCCAAATTTGTATGCTCTGCTTCCCTTTTAAATATAAGTTCCAATTTTACATCATTTCCATACTCATGCAAATAAGCATACAGTGTTAGATGCCTCTAAAGAACCTCTGAATGCTTTGCTGCTTAGAAATTTCTTCTGCCAGATACGCTGTATCATCACTCTCAAGGTCAAATTCCACAGTTCCCTAGAGCGGGGGCACAATGACGCCAGTCTCTTTGCTAATGCATAATAAAAATGACCCTTGCTCAACCTCCCAATCAGTTCCTCATTTCTATCTGAGACCTCCTCATCCTGGACTTCATTGTCCATGTTACTATCAGCATTTTGATTATAACAATGTAACAAATCTTCAGGAAGTTCCAAACATTCCCTCATCTTCCTGTCTTCTTCTGAGCCCTCCACAATCTTCCAACCTCTGCTCATTACCCAGTTCCAAAGTCACTTCCACATTTTCAGGTATCTTTATAGCAATGCCCCACTCCTTGGTACCAATTTTCTGTATTAGCTATTCTTGCATATAAAGAAAAAAGTTTAATTGGCTCATGATTCTGCAGGCTGTAGAGGAAGCATAGTGGCTTCTGCTCCTGAAGAGGCCTCAGCAAACTTCCAATCATGGCAGAAGGCAAAGGGGGAATCACTTCATGTGGTCACAGCAGGAGGAAGAGATACTGAGGGAGGAGCTGCCACAACCAGGTCTCATGAGAAATCTATCATGAGAACAAAACCAAAGGGATGGCGCTAAACCATTTATGAAGGATCCACCTTCAAGATTCAATCACCTGCCACCAGGCCCCACCTCCAACATTAGGAGTTACAAATGAACATGAGATTTGAGCAGTGACTCAGATCTAAATCATATCAGGCCTCATATTTCAAGTGTTTTAAAAATGTTTAACCAAAGCTATTTTCCTATCTTTACAGTCACAGGATTGCTTTGACCAATTATTATTCAAAAAGATAATAATAGAGAGTAAGAATTTATTAATTATGATTTTAGGTGTTTTGAGCAATACTAAGAAAGTTAATTTTCTCCAAATTGTTTCAAAAAGCTTTTGTAATGATGACATTGCTGGATACTTGGTCCCTATCGTAAGTAAATTTCCATGAGAATATTACTGCTAATAAACTGAAATTTTATACATGTAATATATAATCACATACTCACTGTCACTTTGTGAGCAATAAGATTTTTAACTAAAAATTACTTTTTAAAAAAGTAAACTAACAAAAGTTCTTTGTATTTTATGAAGAGAAAAATTTCATACAACATAATTTTTATAAAATATAATTGTTATCTGGTTACTTCACTATTTTGAAATTAAAAATAAGCCAAATTTCTTATGGCCGGTTTCCCCTGGGTTTTGTTTTTTGTTTTTTTTTTTTAATTCTGCTACAGACATATCATTGAGGCTAAATCTAGCACAATTGTAGCATATATGTCTATTTTTTTTTTTTAGACGGAGTTTCATTCTTGTTTCCCAGGCTGGAGTACAATGATGCGATCTTGGCTCACCACAACCTCCACCTCCCAGGTTCAAGCGATTCTCCTGCTTCAGCCTCCTGAGTAGCTGGGATTACAGGCATGTGCCACCATGCCTGACTAACTTTGTATTTTTAGTAGAGATGGGGTTTCTCCATGTTGGTCAGGCTGATCTCAAACTCCCAACCTCAGGTGATCCACCTGCCTTGGGCTCCTAAAGTGCTGGGATTACAGGCATGAGCCACTGCACCCAGTCAGATGTCTATTTTTATAAGTCATCTAAACATACTTAACTATAAAATAAAATGACAGAATGTTATGAGGACATATGAGAGGAGGGTTCTAATTTTGACTGAGGAAAGGGATATGTGGAATTACTGGGGAAGAATGATTTTGGCAAAGTCAGAATTAAGCTCAAACCATTAACATTACTAGGAGAAACCAGGTACATTATAGAGTGAAATGATTTTAGGTGGAGGGAGAGTACATGCAAAGTCCCTAAGACTAAATATGTGTGCGTATACTTTAAATATTTATTTAAATTAAAGGCATTAGTTATATTTATATATCATTTAGAATAAAATTATGTAAATTAAAGAAAGAGAGAGGGATAGAGACAGAGAGAAATACAAAACACTGTAGAGAAAGAAATAAATAAGAAAACAAATGGCCCAAATAATACTGGAGTAGTGGGTAGGAGAAAGATAATGCACTTTCTCACAGGCCAGATGTTGACTTCTATAGTTTGTCTTGAGTGTATTAAGTATTGCTCATCAGGGAGATGACACAGTCTTATTTTCCTTTCATAAAGAGCATTCTGGCTGCTGTGCAAAATGTGACTAGATTGGCAATGGGGCCAGTGTGGAATTAGTAGATTTTTCCAAAAATCTAGGTGAGTGATAGTTGTGGTTTTGACCAAGATGCTGACATTTGAGATAGATGTGAGTAGCTGAGTCCTCAATATATGTTGTACACCCACCACCAGTTGTTGAAAAATTGAATATTGTTAATGTGATAGGTAAGAATAATGTACCCACACCAGGATTTTGAATTTGAGTAACTGCATCTATTTAGATCATCTACTTAGAGGTAGAATATTTGAGAAAGGCGGTGGGAGTATGGGAGTGAAAAGGAGTTTAGTTTTGAAAATCTTCATTAAGAGATGTATAAGAAGCATCTGACTATGTATGCAAAGAAATGCTTGTATGTATGTGCTGCATGTAATAGAGAAATTTGACTAGGAGACATAAATTTTGGAAGTCATGACCAAGAGATGCCATTTAAAATAATAGAAGTGGTTTAGATCACAAATAACATGGAAGGAGAGAAAAAAAAAAAAGAAGAGCTGCATCACCTTGAACTAGTCATACACTGTCTTCAGTTCAATCATCTCCAAATTTAGGTGGAGACTTAATAAAGTTCTTATCTAGTTCAAATAGGAAAAGCCATGTAAAGTCACTTAGCAATCATCCTGGCAAACGATAAGTGCTTGATAAGCATATCTGTTTTATTGTTTTATTAGTTTGTTTCTTTTTGGTTTAAATTTTAAAATTTTTATTAAGTTATTATCTTTATTTTTGGTTTTATTTTTATTTTATTTTCGTTTGGATTGAAATAACATGAATCATGATGAATTTTGAAAAAGAACAAGCCTGGAAAACAGCCTGGAAACAGTGGTTAGAAAAGTAGGAAAAAAAATAGAAATTGTGTTGCCATAGAAAGTGTAAGAGAATATTTATAGAAGAAAGCAATTGTCCAGTAAGTAGCTAATAGGGGACACTGCAAGATAAGGACTGAATCTACTGTATGTGAAAACAAACGTAAATTGGCAAATGTGATGTTTAATTATATGTCAACTTGACTGGGCCACAGGATTCACAGATAGTTTACTAAACATTATTTCTGGTGTGTATCAGGGGAACCCGCCACCAGTATTTCAACATAGGTTCTTTCTATTTTCCGTAAGTGTCGGCTGGCTGAGAAAGAGAAAGAGTACAAAGACAGGAATTTTACAGCTGGGCGTCCAGGGGTGACATCACATATCAGTAGGACCGTGATGCCCACCTGAGCCTTAAAGCCAGCAAGTTTTATAAGGATTTCAAAAGGGGAGGGGGTGCACAAACAGGGAGTAGGTCACAAGATCACATGCTTCAAAGGGCAAAAATGGGAACAAAGATCACATGCTTCTGAGGAAACAGGCCAAGGGCAAAACAGAACTACTGGTAAGGGTCTGTGTTCAGCTGTGCACATATTGTCTTGATAAACATTTTAAAAGAAAACAGGGTTCAAGAGCAGATAACTAGTCTGACCTCAAATTTACCAGGGTGGGGTTTTCTAATCCTAGTAAGCCTGAGGGTACTGCAGGAGACCAGGGTGTTATTTCAGTCCTTATCTCAACTGTGTAAGTCAGACACTCCCAGAGCGGCCATTTATAGAATTCTCCCTCGGAATGCAATTCCTTTCCCAGGGTCTTAATATTAATATTCCTTGCTAGGAGAAGAATTTAGCGATATCTTCCCTACTTGCACATCCGTTTATAGGCTCTCTGAAAGAAGAAAAATGTGGCTGTATTCTGCCCAACCCTGCAGGCAGTCAGACCTTATGGTTGTCTTCCCTTGTTCCCTGAAAATCGCTGCTATTCTGTTCTTTTTCAAGGTGCACTGATTTCAGATTGTTCAAACACACGTTTTACCATCAATTTCCACAGTTAACACAATAGTGGACCTCAGGTGACGTACATCCTCAGCTTACAAAGATAATAGGATTAAGAGATTAAAGTAAAACAGGTGTAAGAAATTATAAGAGTATTATTTGGGAACTCGTAAATGTCCATGAAATCTTCACAATTTATGTTTCTCTGCTGCTGCTCCAGCCAGTCCCTCTGTTCGGGGTCCCTGACTTCCCGCAACAGGTGTGTCTGTGAGAGTTTCCATAGAAGATTATCATTTCATTTGAATTTGTGGATGGAGTAAAACAGATGGCCCTCCTCCTTGTGGATGCAAAGCATTCAATTCTTTGAGAGACTGAATAGAACAATAAGGTAGAGGAAGGTTGAATTAAGTGTGTTTTACTCTTTAGCTGAGACATTGATCCTCCCATCCCCTTGGTGTCCCTGGCTCTCTGGACTTTGGACTATACCACTGGCTTTCCAGGGTCTCCAGCTTGTAGATGGCTGACTGTAAAACTTCTCAGCCTCCATAATCACAGAAGTCAATACCTTATAATAAATTTCTATGTATACATGTGTGTATGTGTATCCTATTGATTCTGTTTCACTGGAGAACACTGACTAATACAGTGAATTTATAGCAAAATTTTAGCACATTGGTGGGTGGATATGGCACATAGAAGTAAGCTAAAAAATAAATGAGAAAAAAATTGAACCATGAAATTTAGAGCATTCTTTACAGTGTAGATGAGCAGATATCAGTAGATTTAGGAAATAGTAGGGTCAACACATGTAGTTCATTTGCTTCTTTGCTTGTCCTATTTTATTTTTAATAAGAGTACACAAATTATGTTTGTATGATTATAAAAATGTTAAAGTAATTGAGTTAATGTGGAGAGGTATAAATAGTGAAATCAAAATAGGATACCAAATTATGGATATTTTCTAAGTAGAGAAAGACGAAATCCTGGATACTTAAAGAGAAATTGGATTTTGATAGGAAGGATATTATTGTTACAAGAGGACACAGTACAGTTGTAAAAATCTCCATATATGAACATTAAGTGGAAATAAAGAGAGTTACAATCCATTTTTTATTTATTAAATAAAATAGAAGTGTAGGTCAGTAACTGAGGAATGGAAACATAGGCACATGAAGAAGTGAAAGGTTCAAAAAGCAATATTGAATTATGAAATCATTGACCTGAAGAAACAGAGTGTAGTGGGAGAGTTGAATTTGGTGATCTTTAAAATACAATTACCTTAGCTTGGATATATTTTATTTCCTCCAACTATTGTTAGATTCACAGTATGGGTGCCAAAAGAGTTTACATTAGGTTCATTAGAGAATAAAGTGTTTTTCAAGCAGGTAGGACAAAAAGGAGAGGGAGAGAAGAAAGGGTGGAGATTAATTGATGGTACCCACAAAATGATAACAGTGATGTACAATGAGGAAAATCCATAAATTAAATATGGTGATAGATTTTCAATATCAGTTGAATGAAAGATATAATGAGGTTAAAAACTGCACTGTAAAAATGAGATTTTATAGTTAAGCAATAAAATTAATTTATTAGTGCTTTGGCACACATTTTTATGCTTATCTCATTTTGAGACTGTGACTATGTAAATGAATGTTTTAGAGAAGAGAAAGAAAAATTCATTGGGGATTAAGAAGTCATGAACTGAGTAAGAGAGTTCTTGAGGCTTTGTTGTCTATTGAAATCTCATAAAATGGTGGCAGTATCTGTGATAGTGATAACATAAAGGAGTTCAGGAAATAAAGTCCTCTACGCTTTTGATATAGTAACCAATGGACAAATAAGTGTCATGAGGTTATGAAGTAAGTGGTTGAAACATAATATTCTTTTATTTACTCAATAGTGTAACTAAACTTACACTATTGGCACAACAGTTTCTATTTTTAAACTTAAAATACAATGTTATTTTATTCACTGGCTTTTCTAATACCACTATCATAAAATGGCATGCACTCCAGTTAAAAAATCCAATGAGCTACAAAATGATTAGTTTAATATTCTAATTTTAACTCTATTTAATAAAATTGTTGAAGAGATCTTATCAAATACATCTAAACGTAGAAGCCAAAACTGAAGTGAAATTGACAAATTTCCCAGTTAGCTTCGTATTTAAAATTCTCAAACCTAAAGCCAATATCCATGAGGGGTGAAGCTAAAACAAAATATTAAAACAAAAAGATATGAATATTTTATATAAGTTGCATTATGTAAAGCAGCCTACAAAGAATAGTAAAGGCAATTTGGAAGTAAAATGGTCAATGTTGCTAATAGGAGACATTGCAAGATAGGGACTGAAAAAATCTACTGTATGTGGCAACATATGTAAATTGGTAAATGTGCTGTTTAATTGTATGCCAACTTGACTGGACCACAGGATGCCCAGATAGTTTACCAAACATTATTTCTGGTGTGTCTGTGGGATTTTTCATAAGAAATTAGCGTTGTTGCATTACCTATTGCTCTTATATAATAGAAGACAAAGAAATTTTTAAAAGTTGATGAAAAACACAAATCACTTAAAAACCATTTCATAACAGGACTATGATAAGGAAATCCAACATGACTTAATGAGAAGTAAAATAACAACACGATGGCTCACGCCTGTAATCCCAGCAGTTTGGGAGGCCTAGGTGGGCGGATCATGAGGTCAGGAGATAAAGACCATCTTGGCCAACACGGTGAAACCCCGTCTCTACTAAAATACAAAAAATGAGCCAGGCATGGTGTTGTACACCTGTAATCCCAGCTACTTGGGAGACTGAGACAGGCAAATCGCTTGAACCCTAGAGGTGGAGATTGCAGTCAGCCAAGATCGTGCCACTGCACTCCATCCTGGTGATAGAGCAAGACACCGTCTCAAAAAAATAAATAAATAAATAAAAAATAAAAAATAACAGCTATATGCCTAGACATTTGTTAACGTCACACATTTCGAACTTTAAAAGACAAAGAACTTGTATTAAAATAAATTAAAAATATAGAAGATTGAGCATAGAATTTGTATGGATGTGCTATTTAAGAAAAAGAGTATGTCTTAAGAACAAACTATAAGAATAAAAATATGTAAGAGCAAAGGATATAAAGAGCATACATAATAAAAGCACCAGTTAAATAATATTTAAGCCATACACAATAAAAGCAGGGATAGGTTGGGTGTGGTGGCTCATGCCTGTATTCCCAGCACTTTGGGAGGCTGAGGTGGGCGGATCACTTGAGGTCAGGAGATCGAAACCAGCCTGGCCAACATGGTTAAACCCTGTCTCTACTAAAAATACAAAAAAAAAAAAAAAAAAAAAAACCAAAAAAGGTAATTAGCCAGGCATGGTGGCAGGCGCCTATAATCCCAGCTACTTGGGAGGCTGACACAGGAGAATTGCTTGAACCCGGGAGGCGGAGGTTGCAGTGAGCTGAGATCATACCACTGCACTCCAGCCTGGGTGACAGAGCAAAACTCCCCCTCAAAAAAAAAGCAGGGTTAAAGCACTCTTTCCTCCATGTGTTGAAACTGTTGGTGACTGAAAGATTGGAGCTAAGCTACCCTTTGGAGATTGCTATTGACTGAAGATGATCCCTCAGTATCATGCCTTCTTCTCAGGCAGTGAACAATTACTGATCAATTATGGTGACTAATTATTGGTCAACATTGGTATAAAGTGTCTAGTCTCATTTTCCTAATTTGATATAATTCTGCAGGGACATTCAAACTCCAGAGCTCCCCTTGGGTCAATTGAATCTCCTGTTGTGACTGCAACACAACCCAGCTTCTCTCTACCAATGCTGTGTTATCAACCTGCAGGTGATGAATTCAAAAACACACCATAATAGCCCTCCTGCACATGATATGTTTTTCATATAACTGACCTGTGATATTTGCTACAAGAAGTGGTCTCAAAAGAGTATTTTATGGGATTTGGGGATTTACAGGAAATGGAATTTGCAGCTGTATTGTCCACCAATCAATTAGGACCCCATCACTGGTGGGTAGGTGGAGCTCATACAGCTCCCGGTATGTGATAGCAGTATGATCATTAAACTTTCATTAGTAGTGACTTAAGATGAAATAATACTGGAAGGAAATGAACTGATGAGTGCAATGTATCAGAGCGTTAAAGAAATATGGGGGAAACTGTAGTATAAGAATAATGATATCAGATGGCTTCTGCTGTTGGAAGCAGTTTTGTGGTTGGAGAAATAAAAACAAAGTTTGAGAGTGATCAATCACCAATTGAAAGCTAAGAGAGAAAGCCAGAGAACCTTCATTTTGTAGAATAAGCTGATGGTAGAAAGTTGAAGGCTATGCCTGGAACTTTTATAGAAAAGTAGCAGAACTCCAGAGAACGTTGAATTTTCTGTTTTCTTTTTAAGTTGTACTTTAAGTTCCGGGATACAAGTGCAGAATATGTAGG